>NC_000009.12:32131212-32282727 GCF_000001405.40 Homo sapiens
CTCTTCTCAGTGCCACATGGCACTTATTCAAAAATTGACCACATAATTGGAAGTAAAACACTCCTCAACAAATGCAAAAGAATGGAAATCATAACAAACAGTCTCTCACACCACAGTGCAATAAAATTGGGACTCAGGATTAAGACACTCACTCAAAACCACACAACTACATGCGAAGTGAATAACCTGCTCCTGAATAACTTGTGGGTAAATAATGAAATTAAAGCAGAAGTCAAGAAGTTCTTTGAAACCAATGAGAACAAAGAGAATGTACCAGAATCTCTGGGACACAGCTAAAGCAGTGTTAAGAGGGAAGTTTATAGCACTAAATGGCCCCATCAGAAAGCTAGAAAGATCTCAAGTCAACACCCTAACATCACGATTAAAAGAGCTAGAGAAGCAAAAGCAAACAAATCCAAAAGCTAGCAGAAGAAATAACTAAGATCAGAGCAGAACTGCAGGAGATAGAGTCATCAAAAACCCTTCAAAAAATCAGTGAATCCAGGAACTGGCTTTTTGAAAAAAATTAGCAAAATAGATAGACTGCTAGCTAGACTAATAAAGAATAAAAGAGAGAATAATCAAATAGACACAATAAAAATTGCTAAACGGGATATCACCACTGACTCCACAAAAATACAAAGTACCATTAGACAATACTATAAACACCTCTATGCAAATAAACTAGAAAATCTAGAAGAAATGTTTTAAATCCAGGATACATACACCCTCCCAATACTAAACCAGGGAGACGTCGAATCCCTGAATAGACCAATATCAAGTTCTGAAATTGAGGCTGTAATGAATAGCCTACCAAAAAAAATCCCAGGACTAGGCAGATTCACAGCCAAATTCTACCAAAGTTACAAAGAGGAGCTGGTACCATTCCTTCTGAAATAATTCCAAACAATAGAAAAGGAGGGACTCCTCCCTAACTCATTTTATGAGGCCAGCATCATCCTGATACCAAAACCTGGCAGAGACACAACAAAGAAAGAAAACTTCAGGCCAGTATCTCTGATGAACATCGATGCAAAAATCCTCAATAAAATACTGGCAAACCAAATCCAGCAGCACATCAAAAAGCTTATCCACCACGATTAAGTCAGCTTCATCCCTGGGATGCAAGGCTGGTTCAATATATGCAAATCAATAAATGTAATCCATCACATAAACAAAACCAATGACAAAAACCACATGATTATCTCAACAGACGCAGAAAAGGCCTTCGATAAGTCAACATCCCTTCATGTTAAACACTCTCAATAAACTAGGTATTGATGGAACATATCTCAAAATAATAAGAGCTGTTGTCATAAATGACAAACCCACAGCCAATATCATACTGAATGAGCAAAAGCTGGAAGCATTCCCTTTGAAAACTGGCACAAGATAAGGATGTCCTCTCTCATCACTACTATTCAACATAGTATTGAAAATTCTGGCCAGGGCAATAGCCAAGAGAAAGAAATAAAGTGTATTCAGATAGTAAGAGAAGAAGTCAAATTGTCTCTGTTTGCAGATGACATGATCCTATATTTAGAAAACCCCATCATCTCAGCCCCAAAACTCCTTAAGCTGATAAGCAACTTCAGCAAAGTCTCAGGACAGAAAATCAATGTGCAAAAATCACAAGCATTCCTACACACCAACAATAGACAATCAGAGAGCCAAATCACGAATGAACTCCCATTCACAATTGCTACAAAGAGAATAAAATACCTAGAAATACAGCTAACAAGAGATGTGAAGGACCTCTTCAAGGAGAACTATAAACCACTGCTCGAGGAAATGAGAGGACACAAACAAATGGAAAAGCATCCCATCCTCCTGAATAGGAAGAATCAATATCGTGATGTGTATATAACCCGCTTTGGCTATCTTCTTCGTTTTAACTTCCATAAAATATTTCTTGGGAATGAAATACTCTAAATATTGAGGTACCATGCTTTCTTTTTTTTTTTTTTTTTTTTTTTTTTTTTTTTGAGATGGAGTCTCGCTCTGTCGCCCAGGCTGGAGTGCAGTGGCGGGATCTCGGCTCACTGCAAGCTCCGCCTCCCGGGTTCACGCCATTCTCCTGCCTAAGCCTCCCGAGTAGCTGGGACTACAGGCGCCCGCCACTACGTCCGGCTAATTTTTTGTATTTTTAGTAGAGACGGGGTTTCACCGTTTTTTAGCCGGGATGGTCTCGATCTCCTGACCTCGTGATCCGCCCGCCTCGGCCTCCCAAAGTGCTGGGATTACAGGCGTGGTACCATGCTTTCTTTGTGGCAGTTTATAAGGTTCATTTTTCTCCCCAGATTGTCACATGGCAAGTGATTGAGATCATTAGCCAACTAGGTAAGTTTGTCTTTTGCACAATGAACTTCATCAACTAATGTGCACAGATTCTATCATTCACATAAAAATATATTTGGAAAGTATGATTAATGACATTAAATTAATCTGAGACACACATTTGTAAATATTTCATCAGCTCTGAAATCAAGATACATGTTATAATTACTGGCTTGCCATATTTAATTGGCAGCATTTAAAAAAATTTAGTGACACATAAAACAAAGGTGTAACTTATATTCAATATGGTACCATGAAGTGAATTAACTGCAGTGTTAATGTTCTACAAACCTGATTAGATCTGACAGATACATTTTTGACTAAATGATCTTAACTACTTGGAGTATTTTCCCCCTGTAATTTATTGAAAGCAAATTCAGAACAAAGTTGTTTTATTATATGTTTATCCCAGAAACCTCATATTGATTCTTGATATCAGGTAGGGAAGATTTCTCTTCACATTTATGTGTTACCACCACCCTCCCCACCTAAGACTTGATGTCTTTCATCTCCTTTAATCGGGTTTGTGCTCTTCTTGTCCTTTTAGTTTTCAGTTATCTCCATATCACTTCACATGCCCATTCTCCTGCTCTTGCAGCTACAAAATCAGTTAGTTTCCTATTTATCTCCCATTTCAGTTATCAGAAAGCTACTTTCTAGTCTTGCCCCTCCTATTTGCTTCACATTTCCTACTATTTTCTTGATTTGGAAATGGGATTATAAGAAATGCCTTCCCAATGTATCTCAAAGTGTTTTTGTGAAGATGAAGTATGTGAAAACTCATTGAGAAGTATTAAATTGGATACAAAGAGACCCAGTCCAGTTATGTTATTTGATATTATTTTGACCGCAACTGCTGTAGATGAGGGACTTAGTTTGAGACACTCCCGCTCACTGCTGGGATTCAGGCAGGTTTAGGCTTGTTTTGCAAACTGATGAGATATACCTTCAGAAGCCTATTTACAGGGCCAAGGAGCCACCTGAGAAAGATCCTGAGTTACATCAGTTCCTGGGGTTCCGACATATGTGGGCATGTCTAATAAACTGATGCATCTGTTCAGTCAGGAACCTGGACACTCAGAAACAGATCTGTCCTACATAAGAAGGAGGCTAGCTCGAGTAATTTAACCCAATACCAGTGTCTAGTTGTTGGTGAGGAATAAGAACTCTGAACACAATGTGATGGTAGTCACTCAAATCTGTCCTTAGTCCTGATTCCTGGAAGCTCTGCCACTAGGACAGCAAAGGTTTTAAGTAAAAATATCCCTCTCAGAAAGTTAACTGCAGTCTGAAGACTAAAGAAGGTGGAGGACAAGGAGAGGGAGGAAAAGTTCAAACAGCAATTTAGCAAACACCTTAATGTATAGAGAAAGAACATATGCAATTTCAAATGTCGAATCTCCTCATTTTCCTTCCTACAACCTGGCTGCCTCATATCAGTCTTCCTCACTGTCACAGAGTAATTTTTTTGAAATCAGACTCACTATTTTACTCCCCTGTTAAATACTCATATGTCTCAGCATTTCCAACCAATTTTCAAATTATTTAGCATGTCATACAAAGCCCATCATAAGCATCATAAGCTGTCCCAGACACATTTTTTACTCAAAATAAGTATGATACTGAAAAAGGTGAGAAGCATGAAATAATACTAAGCATAAAAACTATAAAAATTGATCCTGTACTATACTAGAACTACGTAAAACATATTTACACTCAATATAGCCCAAATATAGCCCACATTAAATTTTTTTTTAGATTTCTTGATTCAAACATAAATATTATACCAACATGGCAAACCACATATGTCATCATAAATTTTGCTACTTTTAATTCACAGAGGACTTTAGCAAAATAATACTGGCATTATTGTTCACTTTTCATCTTGGATCAATTTGTTGTGAAAGTGACCTTTTTCCATTGCAATTGTTACCATGAAACACAAAGTAAGATGTGAAACTGCCTCTACCTTAGGCAAAGCTGACTTAATCTTATGAGGATGACATGATAAAAGCCTGATAGTTAAAATACCTTTTGTCTTTGTCATTTTTTTCCCCCGCTGAAGTTAATATCATCATTTTTAGAAAAGCTATTTTTATATTTGCCTTGTGTTGTTTTAGGATCATTGCTGACTACTGTTATTGTTATTTTAGGTATATGAAGTCTCAAAGTAAAACAGGTTTTTATAATTTTCAAATGTGACCCCTATATGCAGTTTATTTTATGCTATTGCATATTATAGAAATTAAGATTTTTCACCAAAAATATTACTTTTAATAGAAAGTGTTTATCACATTCAACAGCAGTCACTTTTTAATCTTTGTAATGTATCTATACATTTTCAGTGAGTATTTTTTCTATTACATTAAGCTTAGCTATATTGGCAATATGTTTCTTTTAACATTCCAAGAATGTTTGCTTATACACTGGGATGTTTGCAAATGTCTACATATAAGCAAAGGGTTATCTACAAATCCAGGTACAAGTTTCAAGACCCCTCTCTCAGTAACGTGTCAGTCAGAATTTTTTATTTGTTTGAAAGGGAAATAATTATAATGGAAACTAAGCTTCACAAAAATGGTGATTTTTTTTTAAGAATCTGGGCAGCTCATAAAATGGAAAGAGGGGCCATCTGAGAACCTCCAGAGTCCCCAGAAACCCTCCCTGAGCCGCCCATTCTTCCCCTAGGGAAGGCCTAGTGACCATTACAGAAGACCCTATCACCTCCCCTTCCCAACTTCCTCAGACAGTTCTCTCCCTCAGTTCCCACCATTATCTTGTAAAGCCTTAAATTCCTCACATCTTTCTGTTGCATCTTTATCAACACTTCCCTATTTCAACTTTCCTCTCCTTTTGCCTAGACTGATAGAATAACCTTCCTACCTTCCTTCTTTTTGAAAAATTTTCTATGTGATAAGTGAATATTCCCAGCTGATACCGGCATCATCAATAAAATAATTATTTAACTATGTATTTACTGAGTGACTATTATGTAGTGACATTGTGCTGGGACCCAAAGATTAAACAGAAAAATCATAGGTGTTCAATGATACAGAGGATAGAGGTTCAGTGATAGAGAGGAACAGTAATTAAATTCTTACACAAAGAGATTGTAGCAGAGCCTGCTACTTGTCCTCCAATATAATTTATTTTGTCTTCCTTGATAAATGAACTTTCATATGGGTATAATGAATACTCCATTTCCCAGACTCCCTCATTATTGGAAATTATCACACTATTACAGGAAAGGAGAGTTTGCCCGTCTTGTCTCCTACTCTCTCCCTGCTGGCAGGCATGTGTAACTGATGGCTATCTAGGATGGCACACAGGAGGACTGTGCCTGTGGGATGGTTGAGTAACAAGACAGAAGCTGTGTCCTTGGATGACCTCATGCATCAAAGCTGCCCTGCCAGCCCTGGGACAGCCTACCTACAGGCTATTACACTAAGAGCAGTAAGCTTCCTTCTTGTTTAAACCTCTTATTTAAACATTGTTATCTGAGGTCTGTATTACATAGACTCTAACGAGGGGGAGTGTGTGTGTGGGTGTGTGTATATATATATGTACACGAATGTTAGTTTGTATTTACAAACTGTAACTTTTTGTA
Source organism: Homo sapiens (assembly GCF_000001405.40). Taxonomy (NCBI): domain Eukaryota; kingdom Metazoa; phylum Chordata; class Mammalia; order Primates; family Hominidae; genus Homo; species Homo sapiens. The sequence continues at coordinate 32,137,157 of NC_000009.12, forward strand.
TTTACAGTCTGCAACTTACAGACTGTAATAAGTTATAGGAAACATTGAAAAGAGGAATCTGATCTACTTAGGAAGATCAAGATGTCAATTCAGTTATTAAAAAACTGAAGAAGGCACAAATAAATGGAAAGATATCCTATGTTCATGGATTGGATAATTTAATATTGTTAAAATGTCCATACTATCAAAAGCAATCTAGATTCAATACAATCCCTATCAAAATTCCAATGTGACTTTTTGCAAAAATAGAAAAAACAATCCTTAAATTTGTGTAGTAATACAAAGACTGCAAATAGCTAAAACAGTCTTGAGCAAAAACAATAAAACTGGAGGCATCACACTGCTTGATTTCAAAATATACTACAAAACTGTAATAACCAAAACAGCATGATAGTGGCATAAAAACAGACACATAGATCAATGAAATAGAATAAAGAATCCAGAAGTAAACCAAAACAGTTACAATAAATTGATTTTTGGCAAAGGTGCCAAAAGCACACAATGGTGAAAGGACAATGCACTCAGTAAATGGCACTGGAAAACCGGTTATCCACATGCAGAAAGATGAAATAAGGCCCTTATGTTACACTATTCCCAAAAATCAACTCAAATTGGATTAAAGATCTAAATGTAAAACCTAAAACTATAAAACTACTAGAATAAAACTTAGGGGAAAAGCTCCATAACACTGCTGTTTGGGCAAGGATTTTTTGGCTATGACCCCAAAAGCTCAGGCAACAAAAGCAAAAATAGACAGATGGGATTGCATCAAACTAAAAACGTTCTGCCCAGCAACCAAAAAAAAAAAAAAAAAAAAAAAAAGAATTAACAAATTGAAGAGACAACCCACAGACTGGGAAAAATATTTTGCAAGCTATACATATATCTGTTAAGGGGCTAATAACCAAAATACATAAAGAACTCTTTCACTCAATAGTAAACAAATAACTTGATTAAAATATAAGCAAAGGACCTGAATAGACACATCTCAAAAGAAGACATATGAATGACCACAGGTTCATGAAAAAAATGCTCAGCACCATCTCATCAGGGAAATGCAAATTAAAACCACAATGTGATATCGCCTTATGCCTGTTAGAATGGGTTTTATCAAAAAGATGAAAGATAAGTGTTTGCAAGGATATGGACAAAAGGGAACCCTGTACACTGTTAGTGGGAATGTAAGTTAGTGCAGCCATTATGAAAAACAGTATGGAGGTTCCTCAAAAATCTAAATATAAAACTATCACACAGTCCAGCAATCCCACTTCTGAGAATACATCCAAAGGAATTGAAAGAAATATGTCAAAGCGATGTCTGTACTCCCATGTTCAATGCAGCATTATTTACACTAGCTAAGGTATGGAATCAAGTGTCAATCAACGGATGAATGGCTAAAGAAAATGTAGTATATTTACACAGTAGAACACAACTCAGCCTCAAAAGAGAATAAAACTCAGTCATTTAGGACAACATAGGTAAATCTACAGGACATGCTAAGTGAAATAAGCCAGGCACAGAAAGACAAATACTGCATAATCTCAATTATATGTGGAATTGCAAAAAAGTTGAACTCACAGAATTAGAGAGAAGAATGGTGGCTATCAGATTCTGGGGTAAGGGAGTGAGGGAATGGGGAGTAAATAACTGGTCAAAGGATACAAAGTTTCAGTTAGACAGGAGGAATAAGTTTTGAGATCTGTTGCTCAGCAGGGTATGTATAATCGATAATAATGTATTGTATATTTCAAAATAATTAAGAGTAAGTTTCAAATGTATCAATAAAAAAAGTTAAAAAGTAAAGTGATAGATATGTTGATTAGCTCAATTTAATCATTCCACATTGCATACATATATCAAAACATCACATTGCACTTCATAAATGTAACATAATTATGACTTGTCTATTAAAAATTTGCTTTTACATTTTAAAAACAAAAGAACACATTACAGCAATGTATAGTCTCTGTTAAAGTCCAGGTTAAAACTGCCAGGTGCATTTGAAGTTTTTTTGAGTATTTTCCATAATGGCAATTTTTCAAAAGGCAATTATTAAAGGTGGAATGTGCAAGCATTAAAGCTATTTTTTTAATTACCTAGTGCCTATGAAGTTCCAGGCACCTTTTTTTCCCCTAGATGTTAGGAATGAATGTACAGTGAACAAAGCAAAGTCTTTGTCCTCATAGAGCTTATGCTTTACTGCATAAAACAAGCAATCAATCCATCCATAAATGGGTACAAATATAGTAAGTAGTGACAATGCTGAAAAAAAAAGCAGCATAAGAGGAGAGTGACAGGCTGCTGTCTGAGATAGGGCTGTAAAGGAAGCCCTCTCAGAGGTGGTGGTGCAATTTGGGCACAGACCTGGATGAAGGAAGAGAGTGATGATTTTGGTAATGATCTGGGGAAAAGATGTCCCAGGAAGAGGAAACGGGCAGTGCAGAGACTCTGCCACAGATATGCAGCTTAAAATGTGAAGGAATAGCAAGAGGACCAGTGGGAATGGAGCTGTGTGAGCAGATCAGCTTTAAATAACAGAGCTAACGAAACTTCACTGAGCATGTGATTTTTTGTTGGTTCAGCTGATTATGATTCACATTTTGCAATCTTGAAAAAATTGCTTAGAGAAACAGAAGAATACCATAGAGAAGAATATTTTGAGTTTAAACAGATTAGAAATTTAAAACAATGGATTGCTAAATAATGTTCAAACTCTGCCTTGACATGTTGCTTACGATTATTATTAAACTCTGCACAAAATATTGTGGCATAGGTTAAATGAAATACATCATTCAACATATAAGTGTCTTGAGCATCAACCTTCTGTATTTCCTTCTTCCATACCTTTCCAGGTTTTAGTTTGGTTGGTAATAGACACAAGAAGCACATTCTTCCCAATACCGAGGAAGATGAGTCACCTATTTTCCAGGAGATGATAATAAAGGCAATATTTAGGAGAAAACATATGCATAATGCAATTTCAAGAATTGGGAGACAGAAGTCCCAGCAGAACCAGTGATAAGGCCAGAGTCCACGGGTGACAATGATTCCAGAGGACTTTGGGAGTAAGAACATGAGCTCTTTCTGCCAACCCTCTCTCACATCTCCTTTCTCCTCCTATCAATAACCTTCAGTAAATTAGAGAATTTCCAGATAACAGAAAAGTGGATTTAGCAGAATTCCCTAGCTTCTTATGACATTCACAAAATTAAGACTGTTGTGTGGATTTTTAAAATTAGATTTTTAGCATAATCTTTTAATGAAAATGTTTTTAAGAGCCCTCTAGAATAAATATTTCCTGAAATATTCTGCCTAGAGAAAGATTTGGGGAAATAGTAGCTGCATACCATATTACTGCCAACACTCTCCACCCTTCTTCTACCTGAAACCACCTGGAGATCTTATGGCAGATTCTTGTTCTTGTGGAATGAGTGATTCAAACGATAGCTCCCATTGTGTTATGAAAGTGCTTCTGTAAGAGATGCAAGCAAAGCACCTTTTCAAAGGAAAGTCTTTAACTTTCCTTGAAGACTAAGGAAAAGGTGCTTAACCTTAACAGTATGGAAAATTTTTAGGAATAAAACACATTTCGATGCCAAAGTCAATAATCTCATCTTGAAATACAAATGGATTAGCATATATTGGTGAATTAATGGAACTTGGGATTTTCATTCTTTAAGAACAGATGGTAAATATGTATTGCCAGTTCATTCTAGCAACTGGCTCAGTAAACTCCAATGCAGCTCCTTTCAACATCTTACTAAAATATCAAAAGACAGAAAAAAGATAAATGCCTCAAATCACACAGAAATATATAACTATCAGGCAGCCCATAAATTGAAGCCAGTGAACATCATTTGCTGTATTCGGAATTGTTTTTCTAAACCTAGCCCTATCAGTCCTACAATTGTTGTCTATTCCTCCAAGATTACAGTGTTAGGCTGCCTATAGTTATATCAGATAGTTTTGTGTTTAGATTCAACTGACACAAAATTCTACTAAGCCAGTCTTGTTTGCTGAGCCTTCACAATTTACAGGGCAAAGAAGTAGATGCTGCAGAGAGAAACACAGTTGCAGAAAGGCAAGGAGGCACAGTGACTGCCTGCTCCGTGGAAGATGTCATTTTCTGCTAATTCCACTCCAATGGCAGGAGGCAGAAGCAATGCATGAGAAAGACTCTGGTCAATTATGGCCTCAAGGAGGAAAGGTCAAGGTTCTACTAATCCTGGAAGGAATAAGCCACAGCACTCAGGATAAATATTTCAGGACTCTGTTATAAACACACTGTAGATTTGAATTCTAGCCTAAACAAGGAGTTTTCCTAGAAAATGTTTTCTAAATAGTCAAAGTCCTGTAACTTTGTTTTCTAAATATTCAATGTTTATGACTTAGTTTTCATTCTGCCACCACTTCACTCTGCCAACTTGGCAGGACAAGTTGCTTAAACTCTCAGCATCTTTACAGTTGGAAGTATCAGGTTGCTAAACTTTCCCTAAAGTGTTGGAAAGACTCTATTATTATAACTGTGTATCCTAAGACAAGTCCTTTAATACCTGTGTTTCTGTTTGCTGACCAATAAAATGTGAATAAGAAACATTTGCTGAATTTACCAAGTTTTAGAAAGAATTCAACTAAAATCATAGAAAATGCCTTATAAGATGTATTTTAGCATTAGGAATACTATTTCTAACAAGAGATTAACTGCCATCCAATAAGGAATCACAATTCTCTATAACCATAACTTTCCACAAAAACCAATGTTTACACAAAAAAGGCCTTTCCTATAAGTTTTAGTAAAGCAGAAAACTCGCTTTTTTTCTATCTTTTCAAGTGTTTAAGTGAAGAACATTTAATAATTACAACATTTTTTAAAATGGCAAACTCGTAGAAAGACCTTTTTATACACAGAAGTCATTCTCTAATTCAGAGTTTTCCTGACCACAATGTCAGTTAGGCTATTCATCTGTATTTGGTTATACCTTCAGTTTATTTCACTAGAACCTTATCTTTTATTATTTATAGTTCTGTATCATCTGGTCGCTGCCTGAGTGTCTGAAAGGATTAGTGTAAATTGAGTTTTATGAATCAATTTTGGCTGTAAGTGCTTTAGATTATCTCATAATTCACTTCATGAATGTATTTCCTAATTCACCTATTTGCAAGCTGGAAAATTGTTAAACTGGTTTTCTTAAAGAGATGTGACATGGCACAAAGGTGAAATTGATAGGAAAGACATATCAGTAATTGAGACTCTTTGAAAAATGTTTCTTATAGCAAAACAGACACACACATGGAAAATCACATTGTCAGTTTTAGCCATTTAGGGGGAAAAGCAACTCACCATTTTAATCAGAAATGTCAATGGTATATGCTTTTACGATAACTTTTGAAATTTCAAGTTCAACTGTTATTTGTTGATGTGAATACTGATGTAATACTCATCTCTGTTTCTGTAAAAGGAAAATATGATCCATTTTGCAGATGTCTACCATAGAAAATAAGCTGCTTTAATAGAAGGGGTGATCCACTGAAAGTTGAGTTAGTCAAGATTAACAAGTAAGCATTTGCCTCCATGAGTGAGTTACTGCATGTCTCACTTTGTTGATGTTCTTCATTATACTTATTATCAATTTCATAGGAATATTTAATAACATGAATAAAATATACTGTTCAGAATAAAAGGAAAAGTATCTTTCAAATAAAGACAAGATTCAGTCTATAAGATTCATAGATTATGGAATAGAAGGATTAATGAGTGGCATATTGTATTTACATAATGTCCCCTGTTTCAAATCACCTTTTTATTTAATCTTTGATTAAAAGATCACAAAATCCCTGTACATGCCTGGTACTTTCCATATGAGAATGTCTTCCAATAAGGAAAACTCATTAAAATATGACTTATAAACATAATGTTGATGGGGTTATGCTAACTTCTAACTCAGCTGGGAAACTGCCAACTTAAAATGCAATTATGAAATATAAGCTATAAAACTGACTATGGTAATGCCAATAATTTGGTAATTACAAGAACATTTGCAAGTGGATACTGAAGAATGTGTTCCAACAATATAGATCAGGGGAGAAGTACTCTGGCTAATAATACTATTCTAGTTCATTATAATTATTTAAGGTATAATTCATAATACATAAAGTAATATAAATCATTCCACTAATTTATTTTGACCCTTTACTTACCAAATAACATCATCTGAAATTGATTTTTTTTCTTAGTTGTTCCTAAGGCAAAGACGATGCACCAATCAACAACACAAGACTTCTAGGTTACCATTGCTGCAAATAGTAACTAATCTATATATTGCTCTATAAAGAGGCTTGTTATCAGTTCACTTAACACAGACTAACCCTCTTCCAAGACAAAAATGTCATCGTGGTGAGTTAATAAAGTCAAATTAATTAGAAAGCAAACCCAAGACTGTTTAAGATCTTGGTAAGGACTGACTTTCCCATTGTTGCATTCCCAGACCCTGTGCAAAACAGTAGAATGGCTTTTACCTATATATTAAAACATATTTTTCTGTATACAAATTATATAAGGGTTTAATAATAACTAAGGAAACTTGAGACATTTAAACTTACTTTCCTTTATTCACTCTACTTTTTTTTCCATTATTATTTTTATGAAATCATGTACAAATAGCTTAAGATGTAAAATGCAACACAAGGCTACATTTTTTAAAAAGAAACTGAAATTTTTTATTTTATATTAAGTATTATATTAATATATTAATATATATTTTATATATATTTTAAAACTCTAATTTACTGTGAGATCACAGTAAAATAATGCTATCATTTAAAATCAAGACACTCCCTGCTATCCTTGGGTGAAATTGCCAAATATTTGTACAATCATTTTTACTTATTTTTCCATGAGCTGGTTAACAGGATTGTGATGGTTAATATTGAGTGTTAACTTGATTGGATTCAAGGATACAAAGTATTGTTCCTGGGTGTGTCTGTGAGGGTGTTGCCAAAGGAGATTAACATTTTAGTCAGTGGACTGGGAGAGGCAGACCTACCCTTAATTCAGGTGGGCACCATCTAGCATGAATAGGATAAAAGCAGGCAGAGGAACGTGGAAGGGCTAGACTGACCCGAGTCTTCTGGCCTCCATCTTTCTCCCATGCTGGATGCTTCCTGCCCTTGAACATCAGACTCCCAAGTTCTTCAGCTTTTGGACTCCTGGACTTACACCAATGATTTGTCAGGGGCTCTCAGGCTGTCGGCCACAGACTGAAGGCTACACTATCAGCTTCCCTACTTTTGAGGTGTTCAGACTCAGACGAGCTTCCTGGCTTCTCAGCTTAGAGATGGCCTACTGTGGGACTTCACCTTGTGATTGTGTGAGTCAATTCTCCTAATAAACTCCCCTTCATATATTCATCTATCCTATTAGTTCTGTCCCCTCTAGAGAACCCTGACTAATACAGATTTTGGTACCAGTGATACAGGAGTTATTAAGAAATGATTTTTAGGCAGATAGTAAGGGTAAATGTTCTCAGTAGAAATTTTCTTGTAATTAGAAACAACCACCCCAACCATCTCTTTTCTTTTTATTATTATTATTATTATTATTATACTTTAAGTTCTGGGATACATGTGCACAACATGCAGGTTTGTTACATAGGTATACATGTGCCATGCTGGTTTGCTGCACCCATCAACTCGTCGTTTACATTAGGTATTTCTCCCAGTGCTATTCCTCCCCCAGCCCCCTACCCCCAACAGGCCCCGGTGTGGGATGTTCCCCTCCCTGTGTCCATGTGTTCTCATTGTTCACCTCCCACTTATGAGTGAGAACATGCAGTGTTTGATTTTCTGTCCTTGTGATAGTTTGCTGAGAATTATGGCTTCCAGCTTCATCCATGTCCCTGCAAAGGACATGAACTCTTCTTTTTTATGGCTGCATAGTATTCCATGGTGTATATGTGCCATGTTTTCTTTCTTCAGTCTATTATTGATGGACATTTGGGTTGGTTCCAAGTCTTTGCTGTTGTGAATAGTGCCGCAATAAACATACATGTGCATGTGTCTTTATAGTAGCATGATTTATCCTTTGGGTATATACCCAGTAATGGGATTGCTGGGTCAAGTGGTATTTCTAGTTCTAGATCCTTGAGGAATCACCACACTGTCTTCCACAATCCAACCATCTCTTTTCTAACAGAAAAACCTGCTTGAAAAGCCTGGCCAGCAAGCTTTGATATGCAAATGCTGGCCTTTAGAAACTGGTTTCACTCAAAATGGTAATTCCCACCACCTTCTCCTTATCACCAGAGGTACCAAATATCATGGCGACCGCCAGATAACACCATGTGTTTGGAACATAATGGCAACCCACATTTGCATTTTAAAGGGCTAAGGTGGGAGGGCCAGGTTTTTTGCGGGCTACGTAAATGACACACCTGGTCAAACCAATCCCCTGGGCCCTATGGAAACCAGACACTGCCTCCTCCAGCATCCCAATATAAGCAGCCACTTTTCAGCACACACGGAGTTTTCTCTTTGTTCATATCCCCCCTCCCGCTGTCTCTGTATGGCAGAGCTGTTTTCTTCTTCCTTCCTTCTTTCTTGTCTATTAAACTTTTCACTCCTTAAAACCACTCTATGTGTGTCTGTGTCATTTTATCTGAACCGGCATGAGACGAAGGACCCTGGTGTTCCTCCAGTCATCGAAGCTGTGTCACCAGGAGCGGTTCTAAAGGAACAGAATTTTATGGATGGATTCCTTTCTGGAGTTGACTGCTTAATATGATTATACCCCAAAATGCTAAGGACTCTACTTCTAATAGCATGGAGAACACAGATAGTCCTTGGCATGAACTGTTTAAAGAGTTATGTGAAATAAATGCATTTGATACTCCTGGTTCACTGCTTGTGAGAGGCAAGGAGTTTAGTGACTCTATACATAATAACTTTGACCATATGTGGAGAACAAAGGAACATAATGAAGCTGGTTGGTTGCTCCTAAGTTCGCTGGACAAAATGATGTAGGAACACAATAAACTCAGAGATTCTAACTCCCAGCTTCAGAAGCACATACTGAGCCTCAAGTCTCCTAAGACTGCCCTGATTGAGAGTCCTATCTCTTGTAAAGAAAGAGCTGAAATTGTGGAAAATCAGACACAAGCTCCTACGAGAGTGGCTGACCTTCAATGAAAGGTGCATACACAGCCTTGCCTGTCTACTGTCTACTGTTAAAGTGAGGGCATTAATTGGAAAAGAATGGGACCCTCCAACTTGGAATGGGGACATGTGGGAAGACCCTGATGAAGCTGGGGACATTGAGCTTGTAAACTCTGATGAGGCTTTTTTTGCCTGAGGAAACAGCTTCCCCATCCCCAGTGGTGGCAACATCCCCTCCCCAACCCATGCTGCCATCAGCCTTTCCACCCTTGTCTGAGGAGATTAACCTTGCACTGCCTGAGGCAACAGTGATGGCCTCCCCTGAGGCACTTGCCAGGCAAGACAATGTTGATTCTCCTCAGGACCCACCCCAACACCCCTGTTTGCCTCTAGACCTATAACTGGACTAAAGTCCCAGCAGGCCCCTACAGATGAGGTTCAGAATGTGACCCATGAGGAGGTGTGCTATACTCCAGAAGAACTGCTTGAGTTTTCTAATTTATATTAGCAGAAATCTGGAGAACAGGCATGGAAATGGATATTAAGGGTGTGGGATAATAGTGAAAGGAACATAAAGTTGGATCTGGCCGAATTTATTGATTTGGGCTCACTAAGCCGGGATTCTGCATTTAATGTTGCAGCTAAGGGAGTTAAAAAAGGTTCTAATAGTTGATTTGCTTGGTTAGCTGAAATATGGATCGAAAGATGGCCCAAAGTGAGCAAGCTGGAAATGCCTGATCTCCCTTGGTTTAATGTAGAGGAAAGGATAAAAAGGTTTAGGGAGATTGGGATGGTGGAGTAGATTAGTCACCTCAGACCTACACATCCCAGGTGGGAGGGTCCAGAAGACATACTCTTCACTAATACTTTGCAAAATAGATTTGCGAGGGGAGCACCTGCATCTTTGAAGAGCTCTGTGATTGCTCTTCTCTGTGATCATGTGAGTCAATTCTCCTAATAAACTCCCCTTTACATATTCATTTATTCTTTTAGTTCTGTCCCTTTAGAGGACCCTGACTAATACACAGTTATAGGGAGGTATTACTTAGAACTCTTTTAGTTACAAGTAAAATAAACCTAAACTAAGTTCACTGAGGCAAGAAGAAAGGAGCTTGTTGACTCATAATCAAAAATGAAGGAGAACAATAATTCAGCTCTCAAGAACAAATGATAAATGGAATAAGAAAGGACACAGACATGAAAATAATCAGAAATATTTCTCTTTGTCTCTCTATCTCTTATTCTCTCTGCCTACTGACTTTTTCAGACACTTTTTACAAATGGAACTGGAACAATAACCGTTATAGCCATACGTGGCCCAATTCTTACCATTGGTAAGTCAAGGAGTTTCTACTTTTAACTCCCTTAAGGAGTCCAACAGATAGACGTTGATGTTCCAGGCTGAAGTCATCTGCTCGTCCATCTCTGGACCACTTTCTATAAATGGGGAAGTGAGGGTTTGCTATAATTAGCTCAACTTAATCAGGTATCTGCCTCTTGAAAAACTGTAGCCCAAGAGGGCCTAGAAGGATCTGTAAAAGAGCAGTGTTGGGGCCAGAAAGGGCTTCTCCAACACAAGTGGAATAAAACAGAAATATGACAAGGAAATAGCAGAATATAGCAAGAAAACCACTGTTATTTGTGTCAACTACCATCGTGCATGACAAGCAGTAAGAAAATATTTGTCCTTGAACAAGTGGGTAAATAAAATAATGATAAGATATCACTGCCTTGCTGCTGTATCTCCTACTGTATCTCCTATTATTTTCATTTCAACTTTTATTTTAGATACAGGAAATATATGTGCAGAGTTGTTACATAGGAATATTACGTGATGCTGAGGTTTGGAGTGTGGATCCCATTGTCCAGGCAGTGAGCATAGTACCTGATACATATTTTTTTAACCCACCAGCCCTTCTCTCCCTCCACCCTCTAGTAGTCCACAGTGTCTATTTTTCCCATATTTATATTCATGTGTGCTCAATGTTTAGTTCCCACTTATAAGTGAGAACACACAGTATTTGGTTTTCTGTTACTGCACTAATTCACTTAGGATTATGGCCTCCAGATCCATCCATGTTGCTGCAAAGGACATGATTTCATTTTTTTTTATGGTGGGCAGCAAGCCACCCAGGTGCTGAGGCAAGAGACCAAGGGCACGAGCTGTACCAGTATAATAAAATATATAAAACAAGAGTTATACTAGATCTAGATCATAGACATGATTATATATGAATATCATTCATTAATCATTAGTTTGTAGCAATTACTCTTTATTCTAATATTATAATAATCCTCGCTCTATAACCATAACCTAGGAAAAACCAGGCCATACAGAGATCGGAGCTGAGGGGACACAGTGAGAAGTGACCAGAAGACAAGAGTGTGAGCCTTCTGTTATGCCCGGACAGGGCCACCAGAGGGCTCCTTGGTCTAGCGGTAACACCAGCATCTGGGAAGACGCCCGTTGCCAAGCAGACCGTGGTCTAGCGGTAGCCTCAGTGTCAAGGAAAAACACCCGCTACTTAGCAGACTGGGTAAGGGAGTCTCCCTTTCCCCCAGGGAGTTTAGAAAAGACTCTACTCCTCCACCTCTTGTGGAGGGCCTGACATCAGTCAGGCCCGCCCACAGTTATCCGGAGGCCTAACAGTCTCCCTGTGATGCTGTGCTTCAGTGGTCACACTCCTAGTCTGCCTTCATGTTCCATCCTGTACACCTGGCTCTGCCTTTTAGATGACAGTAGCAAAATTAGAAAAAGTCCTCAGTGGGGGGAGGAGCCAAGATGGCCAAATAGGAACAGCTCCGGTCTACAGCTCCCAGCGTGAGCGACGCAGAAGACGGGTGATTTCTGCATTTCCATCTGAGGTACCGGGTGCATCTCACTAGGGACTCCCAGATAGTGGGCGCAGGTCAGTGGGTGCGCGCACCGTGCACAAGCTGAAGCAGGGCAAGGCATTGCCTCACTCAGGAAGCGCAAGGGATCAGGGAGTTCCCTTTCCTAGTCAAAGAAAGGGGTGACAGACGGCACCTGGAAAATTGGGTCACTCCACCCGAATACTGCGCTTTTCCAACGGGCTTAAAAAACGGCACACCAGGAGATTATATCACGCACCTGGCTCGGAGGGTCCTACGCCACGGAGTCTCGCTGACTGCTAGCACAGCAGTCTGAGATCAAACTGCAAGGCAGCAGCAAGGCTGGGGGAGGGGCGCCCACCATTGCCCTGGCTTGCTTAGGTAAACAAAGCAGCCAGGAAGCTCGAACTGGGTGGAGCCCACCACAGCTCAAGGAGGCCTGCCTGCCTCTGTAGGCTCCACCTCTGGGGGCAAGGCACAGACAAACAAAAAGACAGCAGTAACCTCTGCAGACTTAAATGTCCCTGTCTGACAGCTTTGAAGAGAGCAGTGTTTCTCCCAGCACGTAGCTGAAGATCTGAGAACGGGAAGACTGCCTCCTCAAGTGGGTCCCTGACCCCTGACCCCCGAGCACCCTAACTGGGAGGCAACCCCCAGCAGGGGCAGACTGACAACTCACACGGCCAGGTACTCCAACAGACCTGCAGCTGAGGGTCCTGTCTGTTAGAAGGAAAACTAACACACAGAAAGGACATCCACACCAAAAACCCATCTGTACATCACCATCATCAAAGACCAAAAGTAGATAAAACCACAAAGATGGGGAAAAAACAGAACAGAAAAACTGGAAACTGTAAAAAGCAGAGTGCCTCTCCTCCTCCAAAGGAGCGCAGTTCCTCACCAGCAACGGAACAAAGCTGGACGGAGAATGACTTTGACGAGCTGAGAGAAGAAGGCTTCAGATGATCAAATTACTCCGAGCTACGGGAGGACATTCAAACCAAAGGCAAAGAAGTTGAAAACTTTGAAAAAAATTTAGAAGAATGTATAACTAGAATAACCAATACAGAGAAGTGCTTAAATCAGCAGATGGAGCTGAAAATCAAGGCTCGAGAACTACGTGAAAAATGCAGAAGCCTCAGGAGCCGAAGCGATCAACTGGAAGAAAGGGTTTCAGCGATAGAAGATGAAAAGAATGAAATGAAGCAAGAAGGGAAGTTTAGATAAAAAAGAATAAAAAGAAACGAGCAAAGCCTCCAAGAAATATGGGACTATGTGAAAAGACCAAATCTACGTGTGATTGGTGTACCTGAAAGTGACAGGGAGAATGGAACCAAGTTGGAAAACACTCTGCAGGATATTATCCAGGAGAATTTCCCCAATCTAGCAAGGCAGGCCAACATTCAAATTCAGGAAATACAGAGAACGCCACAAAGATACTCCTCGAGAAGAGCAACTCCAAGACACATAATTGTCAGATTCACCGAAGTTGAAATAAAGGAAAAAATGTTAAGGGCAGCCAGAGAGAAAGGTCGGGTTACCCTCAAAGGGAAGCCCATCAGACTAACAGCAGATCTCTCGGCAGAAACTCTACAAGCCAGAAGAGAGTGGGGGCCAATATTCAACATTCTTAAAGAAAAGAATTTTCAATCCAGAATTTCATATCCAGCCAAACTAAGCTTCATAAGTGAAGGAGAAATAAAATCCTTTATAGACAAGCAAATGCTGAGAGATTTTGTCACCACCAGGCCTGCCCTAAAAGAGCTCCTGAAGGAAGTGCTAAACATGGAAAGGAACAACCAGTACCAGCCACTGCAAAATCATGCCAAAATGTAAAGACCATTGAGACTAGCAAGAAAATGCATCAACTAATGAGCAAAATAACCAGCTAACATCATAATGACAGGATCAAATTCACATATAACAATATTAACTTTAAATGTAAATGGACTAAATGCTCCAATTAAAAGACACAGACTGGCAAATTGGATAAAGAGTCAAGACCCATCAGTGTGCTGTATTCAGGAAACCCATCTCACGTGCAGAGACACACATAGGCTCAAAATAAAGGGATGGAGGAAGATCTACCAAGCAAATGGTAAACAAAAAAAGGCAGGGATTGCAATCCTAGTCTCTGATAAAACAGACTTTAAACCAACAAAGATCAAAAGAGACAAAGAAGGCCATTACATAATGGTAAAGGGATCAACTCAACAAGAAGAGCTAACTATCCTAAATATATATGCACCCAATACAGGAGCACCCAGATTCATAAAGCAAGTCCTGAGTGACCTAAAAGAGACTTAGACTCCAACACATTAATAATGGGACACTTTAACACCCCACTATCAACATTAGACAGATCAACAAGACAGAAAGTCAACAAGGATACCCAGGAATTGAACTCAGCTCTGCACCAAGCGGACCTAATACACATCTACAGAACTCTCCACCCCAAATCAACAGAATATACATTTTTTTCAGCGCCAAACCACACCTATTCCAAAATTGACCACATAGTTGGAAGTAAAGCTCTCCTCAGCAAATGTAAAAGAACAGAAATCATAACAAACTGTCTCTCAGACCACAGTGCAATCAAACTAGAACTCAGGATTAAGAATCTTACTCAAAACCGCTCAACTACATGGAAACTGAATAACCTGCTCCTGAATGACTACTGGGTACATAACGAAATGAAGGCAGAAATAAAGATGTTCTTTGAAACCAACGAGAACAAAGACACAAAATACCAGAATCTCTGGGATGCATTCAAAGCAGTGTGTAGAGGGAAATTCATAGCACTAAATGCCCACAAGAGAAAGCAGGAAAGATCCAAAATTGACACCTAACATCACGATTAAAAGAACTAGAAAAGCAAGAGCAAACACATTCAAAAGCTAGCAGAAGGCAAGAAATAACTAAAATCAGAGCAGAACTGAAGGAAATACAGACACAAAAAACCCTTCAAAAAATTAATGAATCCAGGAGCTGATTTTTTGAAAGGATCAACAAAATTGATAGACCACTAGCAAGACTAATAAAGAAAAAAAGAGAGAAGAATCAAATAGACGCAATAAAAAATGATAAAGGGGATATCACCACCGATCCCACAGAAATACAAACTACCATCAGAGAATACTACAAACACCTCTACGCAAATAAACTAGAAAATCTAGAAGAAATGGATAAATTCCTCAACACATACACCCTCCCAAGACTAAACCAGGAAGAAGTTGAATCTCTGAATAGACCAATAACAGGATCTGAAATTGTGGCAATAATCAATAGCTTACCAACCAAAAAGAGTCCAGGACCAGATGGATTCACAGCCGAATTCTACCAGAGGTACAAGGAGGAACTGGTACCATTCCTTCTGAAACTATTCCAATCAACAGAAAAAGAGGGAATCCTCCCTAACTCATTTTATGAGGCCAGCATCATCCTGATACCAAAGCCGGGCAGAGACACAACCAAAAAAGCGAATTTTAGACCCATATCCTTGATGAACATTGATGCAAAAATCCTCAGTAAAATACTGGCAAACCGAATCCAGCAGCACATCAAAAAGCTTATCCACCACGATCAAGTGGGCTTCATCCCCGGGATGCAAGGCTGGTTCAATATACGCAAATCAATAAATGTAATCCAGCATATAAACAGAACCAAAGACAAAAACCACATGATTATCTCAATAGATGCAGAAAAGGCCTTTGACAAAATTCAACAACCGTTCATGCTAAAAACTCTCAATAAATTAGGTATTGATGGGACGTATTTCAAAATAATAAGAGCTATCTATGACAAACCCACAGCCAATATCATACTGAATGGGCAAAAACTGGAAGCATTCCCTTTGAAAACTGGCACAAGACAGGGATGCCCTCTCTCACCACTCCTATTCAACATAGTGTTGGAAGTTCTGGCCAGGGCAATCAGGCAGGACAAGGAAATAAAGGGTATTCAATTAGGAAAAGAGGAAGTCAAATTGTCCCTGTTTGCAGATGAGATGATTGTATATCTAGAAAACCCCATTATCTCAGCCCAAAATCTCCTTAAGCTGATAAGCAACGTCAGCAAAGTCTCAGGATACAAAATCAATGTACAAAAATCACAAGCATTCTTATACACCAACAACAGACAAACAGAGAGCCAAATCATGAGTGATCTCCCATTCACAGTTGCTTCAAAGAGAATAAAATACCTAGGAATCCAACTTACAAGGGATGTGAAGGACCTCTTCAAGGAGAACTACAAACCACTGCTCAAGGAAATAAAAGAGGATACAAACAAATGGAAGAACATTCCATGCTCATGGATAGGAAGAATCAATATTGTGCAAATGGCCATACTGCCCAAGGTAATTTACAGATTCAATGCCATTTACAGATTCAATGCCATCCCCATCAAGCTACCAATGACTTTCTTCACAGAATTGGAAAAAACTACTTTACAGTTCACATGGAACCAAAAAAGAGCCCGCATCGCCAAGTCAATCCTAAGCCAAAAGAACAAAGCTGGAGGCATCACACTACCTGACTTCAAACTATACTACAAGGCTACAGTAACCAAAACAGCATGGTACTCGTACCAAAACAGAGATGTAGATCAATGGAACAGAACAGAGCCCTCAGAAATAACACCGCATATCTACAACTATATGATCTTTGACAAACCTGAGAAAAACAAGCAATGGGGAAAGGATTCCCTATTTAATAAATGGTGCTGGGAAAACTGGCTAGCCATATGTAGAAAGCTGAAACTGGATCCCTTCCTTACACCTTTTACAAAAATCAATTCAAGATGGCTTAAAGACTTAAACGTTAGACCTAAAACCATAAAAACCCTAGAAGAAAACCTAGGCTTTACCATTCAGGACATAGGCATGGGCAAGGACTTCATGTCTAAAACACCAAAAGCAATGGCAACAAAAGCCAAAATTGACAAATGGGATATAATTAAACTAAAGAGCTTCTGCACAGCAAAAGAAACTACCATCAGAGTGAACAGGCAACCTACAAAATGGGAGAAAATTTTCGCAACCTACTCATCTGACAAAGGGCTAATATCCAGAATCTACAATGAATTCAAATTTACAAGAAAAAAACAAACAACCCCATCAAAAAGTGGGCGAAGGACATGAACAGACACTTCTCAAAAGAAGACATTTATGCGGCCAAAAAACACAAGAAAAAATGCTCACCATCACTGGCCGTCAGAGAAATGCAAATCAAAACCACAATGAGATACCATCTCACACCAGTTAGAATGGCAATCATTAAAAAGTCAGGAAACAACAGATGCTGGAGAGGATGTGGAGAAATAGGAACACTTTTACACTGTTGGTGGGACTGTAAACTAGTTCAACCATTGTGGAAGTCAGTGTGGCGATTCCTCAGGGATCTAGAACTGGAAATACCATTTGACCCAGCCATCCCATTACTGGGTATGTACCCAAAGGACTATAAATCATGCTGCTATAAAGACACATGCACATGTATGTTTATTGCGGCATTATTCACAATAGCAAAGACTTGGAACCAACCCAAATGTCCAACAATGATAGACTGGATTAAGAAAATGTGGCACATATACACCATGGAATACTATGCAGCCATAAAAAATGATGAGTTCATGTCCTTTGTAGGGACATGGATGAAATTGGAAATCATCATTCTCAGTAAACTGTCGCAAGAACAAAAAACCAAACACCACATGTTCTCACTCATAGGTGGGAATTGAACAATGAGAACACATGGACACAGGAAGGGGAACATCACACTCTGGGGCCTGTTGTGGGGTGGGGGGAGGGGGCAGGGATAGCAATGGGAGATATACCTAATGCTAGATAACGAGTTAGTGGGTGCAGTGCACCAGCAATGCACATGTATACATATGTAACTAACCTGCACATTGTGCACATGTACCCTAAAACTTAAAGTATAATAATTATAAAATAAAATAAAAGTCCTCAGTAATCAAAAAAAAAAAACAGTAGCAAAATTAGTGAAAGTACTAAAAGTCTCTGATATGCAGAAATAATGGCATAAGCTGTCTCTCTCTCTCCCTCTCTCTCTCTGCCTTGGCTGCCAGGCAGGGAAGAGCCCCTTTTCCAGTGGACACGTGACCCACGTGACCTTACCTGTCATTGGAGATGACTCACACTCTTTACCCTGCCCCTTTTGCTTTGTATCCAATAAATAACAGCACAGCCAGACATTCGGGGCGACTACCAGTCTCCGCGACTTGGTGGTAGTGGTCCCCCGGGCCCAGCTGCCTTTTCTTTTATCTCTTTGTCTTGTGTCTTTATTTCTACACTCTCTTGTCTCCGCACACAGGGAGAAACCCCCCGGCCCTGTGGGGCTGGTGCCTACATTTATGACTGTGGAAAATTCCATTGTGTATATGTACCATATTTTCTTTGTCCAATCTGCCATTAATGGGCACCTGTGTTGATTCCACGTCTTTGCTATTATGAATAGCACAGCAATTAACATAAGAGTATATGTGTCTTTTTATTTTCTTTGAGGTATAAACCCAGTAATGGGATTGCTGAGTCAAATTGTAGGCCTGTTTTAACTTTTTTGAGAAATCTACAGGCTGCTTTCCACAGTGCCTGGGGCAACTTATATTCCCATCAACAGTGTATAAGCACTCCCTTTTCTCAGCAACCTTGCCAGCATCTGTTGTTCTTTGACTTCTTTAAGATATCCATTCTGACTGGTGTGAGGTGGTATCTCATTGTGGTTTTGATTTGCATTTATCTGATGATTAGTGATGATGATAATTTTTTCATATGCTTGTTGGCCACTTGTATATCTTCTTTCTTTTTTTTTTTTTTTTGGGGTGGGGGGAGATGGAGTTTTGCGCTTGTTGCCCAGGCTGGAATGCTATGGTGCAATCTAGGCTCACTGCAACCTCTGCCTCCTGGGTTCAGGAGATTCTCCTGCAGCAGCTGGGATTACAGGCATCTGCCACCACACCCAGCTAATTTCTGTATTTTTAGTAGAGACGGGTTTCACCATGTTGGCCAGGCTGGTCTCGAACTCCTGACCTCAGGTGATCCACCCGCCTCAGCCTCCCAAAGTGCTGGGATTACAGGTGTAAGCCACAGTGTCCGGCCTCTCTTGAGAAGTGTAGGTTCATGTTTTTTGTCCGTTATTTAATGGAGTTATTTATATTTTGCTTGTTAATTTGTTTAAGTTCCCTATAGATTCTTTATATTAGGCTATCGTCAGCCTTTGTTGAGATAACCTATCCATTCTGTAGGTTGTCTGTTTACCCTGTTGATAGTTTCTTTTGCTGTACAGAAGCTCTTTGGTTTAATTAGGTCCAACTTGTCAATTTTTGTTTTAGTTGCAATTGCTTTTGGGGACTTATCCAAAAATTATTTGCCAAGGTCAGTATCAAAAAGGGTGTTCCCTAAGTTGTTTTGTAGGATTGTTATAGTCTGAGGTCTTACATTTAATTCTTTAATCCCTTTTGAGTTTATTTCTGTATGTAGTGAAAGGTAGTAGCCATCCAGCTTCAATCTTTGGCTTATGGCTAGCCAGTTTTCCCAGCACCATTTATTGAATAAGGAATTCCTTCCGCATTGCTTGTTTTTGTCAGCCTTGTCGAAGATCAGATGGTTGTAGGTGTGTGGCTTTATATTGGAGTTTTCTATCCTAGTCTATTAATCTATGTGTCTCTTTTTGTACCAGTTACAAGCTGTTTTGGCTAATGTGAATTTATAGTATAGATTGAAGTCAGGTAGTATGATGGCTCTGGCTTTGTTCTTTTTGCTTAGAATTGCTTTGGCTATTCAGGCTCTTTTTTGGTTCCATATAAATTTTAGAAAAGTTTCTTCTAATTCTGTGAAGAGTGATGTAGATAGTTTGATAGGAATAGTATTGAATCTGTAAATCGCTTTGGGCAGTATGGCCATTTTTATGATATTGATTCTTCCAATCCATGAGCATGGAATGTTTTTCAAATTATTTGTGTCATCTCTGATTTCTTTCAGCAATGTTTTGTAGTTTTCCTCTTAGAGATCTTTCACCTCCCTGATTAGCTGTATTCCTAGGTATTTCATTTTCTTTGTGGCTATTATAAATGGGATTGTGTTCTTGATTTCCCTCTCAGCCTGGACATTGTTGGTGTATAGAAATGCTACTGATTTTTGTACATTGACCCTCAACAACCAAGGCATGAAAGGAACATACCTCAACTTAATAAGAGCCATCTATAACAAACCCACAGCCAACATTATACTGAATGGGCAGAAATTCAAACCATTCTCCTTGAGAAATGGAAGAAGACAAGGATGTCCACCCTCACCACTCCTATTCAGCATAGTACTGGAAGTCCTATCCAGTAGGACTATCATGCAAGCAGGCAAGAAAAATGAATAAAAGGTATCCAAATAAGAAAATATGTCAAACTATCTCTCTTTGCTGATGATATAATTGGATACCTAGAAAATCTTAAAGACTCTGCCAAAAGGCTCCTGGAACTGATAAACAACTCTGGTAATGTTGCAGGATACTGTACTTCCTATTCTTGTCTCAATGAAGCAATTTAGTACCATTTTCTTTCCAAAATCTTATTTTGGTGAAAATTTTATCTGTACTAGAGATAGCAGCAAACAGACAAAAAAAAATTAGTAAGATAGATCCTAATTTTGATTACTTTCACTTATCTAAGAATTGCAAAGCTGACTCAGACATGAGGGTGTTAAGATAATAAACTAACCTATGATAAACACAGATAATTATAGAACAATTTTTGAAAAGTCTAAGATTTAGAGTCAGTGTTAAATACATGTTTGGAATAATTAAGAGCATGGCTTTTCAATAAATTAAAAAGTAACAGCGTATTTTAGGAAGCTGGCAAAAGTCAAATGAGCAAAATTGATTATTGTAGCAAAGAATTGGATAAAGTTGTTGGAAGTATGAGGCTGGATTAGCACTTACAAAGATTTTTCAAATTATTTCTTATACTTTCTTGTTTCTGTTTTTTTCACAGTTAACTGCCAATATTCTCACATACTTGTATAACTGTGATAGTCATTGAAAACTCTTCACAAAATATTTTTATTCTCATTCCAGGTAAATAGTGAACTGAAGTTTCACCCCCGCTTTGAATTAAATGACATGCTTCAAAATAAGCTGATGTGGTATTTATCACTTTCAGGTGAAAGTTCTATGAATCAGGGCACAATTTGCCACCCTCTCTTTCTCCCCACCACAGGGACTGACCATTTTTTTCAATAGTAAGCAGCTGCTATGTCACCTCATGAACTCACGAGGATGACAAAGAAAATGGCCAACAGCTGATGGAGCAAAATCTGGAAATAGTACTTTCTTTAAAAATATCAAGGCTCAGGGTTCTTACTGCAGTATAACCAGTCCATCCTCACAGATATAATAAGTATAGAAAAATATGTATTTATCATATTGGCATTTGACATTACAGGAGTAATAGATAATAACTATTTAAGAATGAAAATTCGAGATTAGGTATTTCTAGGTGTTAGTTTACTGGTTGTATTTTATTTGTAATTTTCCATGTTTCAAATTGTCTTCAATGTCTGAGTGTTTAATAATCATAAAATCAACAACCTTTATGTTAAAAGAGAATAGGATTATAATAAAAATAAATAAGCTTCATAATGTTAAGTATCAATAATTTCTATATTTTGAAATATGATTAATGCACTGTAGGTGTTCTTTTAATGCATGTGTTAGTACACAAGTAACATAAGCAATTATTTCAGTTTTATCTTTTATTGCAAATCACATGTGCATACTATAATTACCTATTTTCATGTAGTATTAAGAAGCATTATTAATTAACACAAAATTTGTTTTCTGCTAATGGTTTTTAACAGATAGCAAATGCATTAGTTTTCCTCTGTAAACAATTTGTACTGAATCACACATATTTTGATATGTGGAACTTTATGTTCATCTTCCAGAAGACCATGCAAACAGTTCTAAATTCTACTTTCAACAAATGGTTATTTTTAAAAGTAACATTCTGATGACATTTTAATTTTCTTGTTTTCTTAAACTTTGGACTTCTCGTCAAGTTTTATTGCATTGTTATAAGACGTAGCACATACCTTTTCAAATTTATCATAATTTTATTATGGCTCAGTGTGTCATCAGCTTATTAAAAATTCCCTAAGATTAAGAAGGTGGATTTAATTTGTATTGCATATAAAATCTGACAAATATATACTAACACACATATTCAAATGTATCTGTCAGATTTTCTAAATGCTAATTTTTATTCATTTGGTTTGTCAACAACTGAGGGTATAGAAATCTTGTATTACTCTTGTGATTTTGTTGCTTCTTAAAATATATTTCTAACAAGATTTTGCATAACAGATGTCCAGGTTACTTTAGTTGATGTGTAAATGTGCACTAAATTTTATGTATTTTTCAATCTGATTTTTCAAGCAAAAGATTTTATTTTTACCATTTAACTAGCTTTTAACTTAAATATGTTTGGTTATCCTTCATTATTAAACATTCTTGGTCACTATCTTAGGTGTGCTTCTGTTACTGGAAAGTGGTCCCAATCCAGACCCCAAGAGAGGGTTCCTGGATCTCACACAAGAAAGAATTTGGAGCGAGTCCATAAAGTGAAAGCAGTTTCTTAAGAAAGTGAAAGAATAAAAGAATGGCTACTCCATACACAGAGCAGCCCTGAGGGCTGCTGGCTGACCATTTTTATGGTTATTTCTTGATTATATGCTAATCAAGGGGTAAATTATTCATGAGTTTTCCAGGTGGGCCATTCCTGGAACTGAGGGTTCATCCCCCTTTTGGACCATATAGGGTATTTTCCTGACATTGAAATGGCATTTGTAAATAGTGGTGGCGCTGGTGAGAGTGTCTTCTAGCATGCTAATGTACTATAATTAACACATAATGAGCAGTTAGGATGACCAGAGGTCACTTTCGTCTCCATCTTGGTTTTGGTGGGATTTGGCTGGCTTCTTTGCCACATCCTGTTTTATCAGCAAGGTCTTTGTGACCTGTACCTTGTGCCGACCTCCTATCTCGTCCTGTCACTAAGAATGCCTAACTCCTGGGAATGCATTCCAGTAGGTCTCAGCCTTATTTTACCCAACCCGCATTCAAGAGGAAGTCACTCTGGTTTGTATACCTCTGAAAAAAAACTTGTGAAGAACAATAAAAACTATATTTTGACTTTCAATATTTTTCACCCAAGTTGAGAGAATAGTAGTATATAATTTAAATGTGAAAATTCTAAATGATATACAACTTCCATTTATTGCTACATTGTATAATACATACCTATGTTTTCTCTCATTTGTTATCTATACTCATTTTAAACATAGATATCTTTTTTCATGTATACCAGTGGTCACCTTTCAGTTCAAGAAATATGAATTTCAAGAGAAAATCCTATTTAATGACTCTCTGTATGAAATGTGGGAAATTAACATACCATTATTTCTTTCTATGATACCCACCCACATCTCTACTCTGAAAGATACATAACAATTTTAGAATCTAATTTGCTTTTTTAAAGTTAATTACACACTCAAAAATAATATATGTATTCACTGTCATCTAGAATTAAAAAATATATAGATCAAAGTCCCCTTTAACCACCAAACAAAAACCCTTCCTTTTTCTACAAGAGGTAACAACTTTTTAGGTAGATGATTATTCCTACAGACATGCTTTTTAAATGGATACACTTTTTTTTACCTTTATATACTTGTTAAATTTTACAAATATTTCTATACCCATGTGATATACATTACAATTTGTGTCTTTGCAATCTTTTTTCTTTGTTTCCATTGCTGACGAGTCTCCTTTTAGATCAAATAGATTAACGTATCCAAAGAAAAAATGGTTGTACAACCTCAAGCAGTTATTGATTTTCACAGAGCAGGGATTGGCAAATATAGTAAATATTTTAAGCTTTACAGGTCATCTGCTGTCTTTTGCAACTACTCAACCCTGCCTTTGCAATGCAAAAGTAGCCACAGGCAATACATTAATGAAGGACTCTGGCTGTGTTCCAATCAAATTTTATTTATAAAAGCAGACAGTTTCAGAGTCCATATCTATAGCTAAGCTCTTGCTTGAAGGTGTAATATTATTATAATAGCAACAAAAGTAATAATAATAGTTCAATGCTTTAAATAGTTGTTACATTTCTAACACTGTACTAACCTAAGATTGGTATTTTCCCTTAATAGAGTGGCCCTTTGTGTCGTTAAGAAGGACAGTCTGACTAGGTTCCCCACACACACCTCTGAAGACTTTTTTCTCCACCTTTCTTTCAACACTTAGAATTTTCTGTGTGTTTTGTGGTTATTCTGCTCAATCAAATATGTATTTACTGGCAGAACAAAACAAAAGAAGGCAGGTAGTAGACTAGATTTGACCTGAAGGCCATAATTTTCCTACCTCTGTTCCAAAGCCTCAGATGTTTTATCTGTAAAATGGGAGTAATAATATACTTAAATTGTAAAGTGTGGTAAGGATTTAACAGAACAAATCATATATGCAACATGCTAAGCACAATATTTGACATATTGATATATTAACAGCTACCATCTTATTGACAGCTTAATGTTTTCTCAGCATTTTATTAATATTTGTTTGCTCCAGTCCTGACAAGAAGCCTATGAGTTAAGCATTGTTGACTTCTTTTCAATGAATTGTGAAAGCTGAAACTCAGAAACGTTAAAATAACTTGCCTAAATTTAGACAGTGAGTAATGACACAATTGAGAGTCAAGGTCAGCTTTCTCGGACTCCTGAGTCAGTTCTCCTAGTTCTCAAATCACCAGAGTGGAGTCACTGGTTAGTCTTGACAAACCCTGACTTCTAGACCATCCCTCTCTTTTGTGAAATGGGAGAATGTCAGTTACATCCCATGCCTGTTCTGATCCTCTTCTACCAGCCCTAGCCCCAAATTTCTTGTTATTAATAGAAGAGGCTTTTTCTATTGTTCCTTCCATCAGAATTCTGGTGCATTAAATTGTCACTGGTTGGGGTCTCGAAGTCTCTGCCTCAGGGGCTATTCACTGGCCAAGAAATGAATTAACAAACAAGGACGACCCTCCCTGGACTCAGCATTCCCTAGTTGATATATTCTCTACTTTATTATTATTATTATTATTTTTGAGACAGAGTCTCACTGCATTACCCAGGCTGGAGTGCAGTGGCACAATCTTGGTTCACTGCAACCTCTGCCTCCCAGGTTCAAGCAATTCTTGTGCCTCAGCCTCCCAAGTAGTGGGAATTACAGGCGCACGCCACCATGCCCAGCTAAATTTTGTATTTTCAGTAGAGACAGTGTTTCATCATGTTGGCCAGGCTGGTCTCGAACTCCTGATCTCAAGTGATCCACCCGCCTCGGCCTCCCAAAGTGCTGGGATTACAGGTGTGAGCCACCATGCCCAGCCATGTAGTTTATTATTCTATTTGATTTTTAAAAACAAGAGTGCAAAGTAAGCAAAATTGTTCCCTCCTCTTTCTTTTGCCAAGTTTCAATAAAGCAAAGAAAATACCTAGTATTGATGATTCTTTGACAGAACAAACTTAAGTAAAATGGAAATTATTGGGCAAATAAAGGAAATTTGAAGAATCTCTGGGAAAACCTGGAGAACTTGGCTTGGAACCCAGGCATGTCCCAGAGTAAGGAAGCCAAAATCACAGGAACAGTACCATAGCAGGAATTCTGTAGTCATTTCTTCCAATGGAATCAACAGATACTCACTACTTGTAGTCACTCTGTATAAGTTTAAATGCAAGATGGAATTCATTTTGGCCAAGTACATGTCAATGCCTACCTCTTAGCTGATGGAGACTTGTCACCTAACACCTCACCAGACTATGTCCAGCATAGAAGAGTAATTCCTCAAAAGGAAATGACAGTGGTGTCTGGAAGAAAAAACAGATATAGAGAGTTGTAACAAAAATGACAATAATACATGGTCCCAGTAATATTCAATATCCAAAATAATCCTGTCTGCTCCTCAGAAACTGAGGTGAGAAATTCCTTAAAGTGATAGGAGCTACCTAGAGAAAATATTCATGGCACATTTTCCTGGAGCATTAATTTTATTTTAATGTTTCTCAGATGCAAAACAAACATGATAATATTATAAATAAGAATTCAAAATTTGCATGATTTTTCAAAACAAACCCCTTCAAAAGCATTTCTGTGCTTCTCATTGGTCACTTCAGACCAAGTCCTGAGACTTTCCAGATAGGATTTTTTTCTCCCTTGCTGTTCCCTTAACAAGTTTCTCTTTTTCTCTCTTAAGGCAGGCTCTAGGCACCTTATAAGGTGCCAATTAACGTCCTGTGAGTCAAGGAATTTCTCTGAATTTTGTCTTTAGCCCTCTCCCTGGGCCATTTACAACAGAATTCTATTCTGTTTCTTATATGCAGACTTTCTTTCTCAACACTGCCATTTGGACTGACAACTTGTTTTCATTTTTGTGTTTGTCCCTGCAGCCTCACTGATTCCTCCTGGGTCTCCCTACACCCCGCCCTCACATCAGCCCAAGGTCTTAGGGCATTGTGGCACTAACACAATGTTAGTCTGGCTCTAACACTCTGAAATCCTTGTCACCCAAAATGGTATATCAGATATGAATATCTAGGGATATCTAACATCTTCTGGAATATATCCACATTTCACACTTAATACCTATCCTTGCAGTAAAAAGGTATATAACTTCACTTTCATAAGTTGTGTTTTCTTTTAAAAAGCATAAAGCCAATCCCAAATCTCCTGATACTCCTGTTTTGGGTAAATCTCTATGTGTACTTTTCATGATTTATGGACTTTGATCATACATTCCTTCATCTTCCATCTTACATGAATTTTAATTTTCCCTTATCTATTCTCTTAAGGGAGATGCTCCAAACTTCTAAAAAGCAAAGTAGAAACTATCAATTCTTATGTCAACTGAAATATCATTACCCTTCTCAATATGTATTTTAGTTTTCACAGTTCCTCAACCATGTTGCAGCCATAAACACTGAGGGGGTAAAAATGGAAGAGGATGTCCTGTAGATGCAACATGTCAAGAAAGAGATTTGAAATAAAATTTCAAGTGTGCTTTGACTGGCTGTATTTAATGAATGTCCTTAATCGAATCAATTAACTTCCCTCAGTTTCTACATCTTAACTTTCTACATCTATAAAGTGGGAATGTTCATGCGGGTCTGTGTGAAGAGACCACCAAACAGGCTTTGTGAGCAATAAAGCTTTTAATCACCTGGGTGCAGGTGGGCTAAGTCCGAAAAGAGAGTCAGTGAAGGGAGATAGGGGTGGGGCCATTTTATAGGATTTGCGTAGGTAGAGGAAAATTAAAGTCAAAGGGGGGTTGCTCTCTGGCGGGCAGGTGTGGGGGTCACAAGGTGCTCAGTAGGGGAGCTTCTGAGCCAGGATGAGCCAGGAGAAGGAATTTCACAAGATAATGTCACAGTTAAGGCAGGAGCAGGCCATTTTCATTTCTTTTGTGGTGGAATGTCATCAGTTAAGGTAGGAACCGGCCATCTGGATGTGTACCTCCAGGTCACAGGGGATATGATGGCTTAGCTTGGGCTCAGAGGCCTAACATTCCTGTCTTCTCATATTAATAAGAAAAATAAAATGAAATAGTGGTAAAGTGTTGGGACAGCGAAAATTTTGGGGGGATGATATGGAGAGATAATGGACGATGTTTCTCATGGCTGCTTCGAGCGGGATTAGAGGCGGCATGGGAACATAGAGTGGGAGAGATTAAGCTGAAGGAAGATTTTGTGGTAAGGGGTGATATTGTGGGACTGTTAGAATAAACATTTGTCATTTAGAATTATTGGTGATGGCCTGGATACGGTTTTGTATGAATTGAAAAACTAAATGGAATAAGAGAAGGAGAAAAACAGGTATTAAAGGTCTAAGAATTGGGAGGAGCTAGGACATTTAATTAGAGAGTGCCTAAGGAGATTCAGCATAGTCCTGCCAGCAAAGATTGTTTATTTACTTTAAGAGTTAGTTAAGAGTGGCAGTTTGGGGATAGCACCAGCGGATATCAGCTGTGATGGCTTGGAGAAACAATGTAAACTGGCAGTGTAAACAAGAGCAGGGCATGGATGAGTAGTTTGAGAATGGTGAATAGGAGTATGACTAGACAGAAGATAGTAGGGATGACAAGTTTTTTGGGGCACAGTCCAAGTTGGTCTGGTGTCTGGAATGAGACTGGGGCCTAATAAAAAGAGTGTCTATACAGGAGCTTAAATGGGCTGTACTCTGTAGCATTCCAAGGACAGGCCTGAATTCTGAGAAGGGAAAGTGGTAAAAGTATTGTCTAGTCCTTTATAAGTTGGTGGCTGAGCTTGGTGAGGTGTGTTTTTAAAAGACCATTAATCTTTTCTGCCTTTCCTGAAGACTGAGGACTGTAAGGAATATAAAGGTTTCACTGAATACTAAGAGCCTGAAAAAATGCTTGGCTGATTTGACTAATAAAGGCCTGTATGCTCTCAGACTGTATAGAGGTGGGAAGGCCAAACCAAGGAATTATGTCTGACAGAAGGGAAGAAATGACAGCGGTGGCCTTCTCAGACCCTGTGGGAAAGGCCTCTACCCATCCAGTGAAAGTGTCTACCCAGACTAATAGGTATTTTAGTTTTCTGACTCGGGGCATGTGAGTAAAGTCAATTTGCCAGTCCTGGGCGGGGGCAAATCCCTGAGCTTGATGTGTAGGGAAGGGAGGGGGTCTGAATAATCCCTGAGAAGTAGTAGAATAGCAGATGGAACACTGAGAAGTTATTTCCTTGAGGATAGATTTCCACGATGGAAAGGAAACGAGAGGTTCTAAGAGGCGGGCTGGTGGCTTGTACTATAGCATAGCCTGCCTTTGCTGGTGTATGGCAATTAGGCCTGGTGGAACTGCCATCAATAAATCAAGCGTGATCAGGGTGAGGAACAGAAAAGAAGGAAATATGGCGAAATGTGGTGAATGTCACGTGGATCAGAGAGATACAGTCATGGGTGTCAGGTATGGTATCAGAAATAATGTGGGAGGCCGGATTGAAGTCCCGGCCAAGAACAATGGTAATTGTGGGACTCAACAAAGAGTGAGTACAGCTGAAGGAGCCAGGGAGCAGAAAGTGTATGTGTCAGGTGTGAGGAAGAAAGTAGATTTTGGAAGTTATGAGAACTGTAGAGAGTGAGTTGAGCACAGTTTGTGATTTTAAGGGCCTCTAAAAGTATTAGGGCGGTGGCGGCTGCCGCACGCAGACTTGAGGGCTAGGCAAAACAGTAAGGTCAAGTTGTTTGGATAAAAGGCTACAGGGCGCGGTCCCGGTTCTTGTGTAAGAATTCTGACTGCACACCCCTGCACTTCAGTTGTGGGTAACGAAAAGGGTTGGGATGAGTCAGGAAGAGCTAGGGTGGGGCAGTCTCTAAAGATGTCTTCAAGGAATGGAAAGAGGAGTGGGGAAAGGATTTAGGATCTATGGGGTCAGCTAGATTTCTTTTTGTGAGTTTATATAATGGTTTTATTAGGATGGCAAAACCAGGTATCTAAAGTCGAAAGTATCTCACCATGCCTAGGATGTAGAAGGTGTTGGGGTTTGAGAGATCAGTCAGACACGATCAGCAGGGAGAGCACGTGTGTTTTTATGAGAATTATGCCGAGACAGGTAACAGGTGAGGAAGAAATTTGGGCTTGAGTGAAGTAATGGGGGCTGTCTGTGAAGCCTTGCAGCACTACAGCCTAGGTAATTTGCTGAGCCTGATGGGTGTCAGGGTCAGTCTAAGTGAAAGCAAAGAGAGGCTGGGATGAAGGGTGCAAAGGAATAGTGAAGAAAGCATGTTTGAGATCCAGAACAGAATAATGGGTTGTTGAGGGAGGTATTGAGGATAGGAGAGTATATGGGTTTGGCACCATGGGGTGGATAGGCAAAACAATTTGGTTGATAAGGCGCAGATCCTGAACTAACCTGTAAGGTTTGTCTGGTTTTAGGACAGGTAAAATGGGGGAATTGTAAGGGCAGTTTATAGGCTTTAAAAGGCCATGCTGTAGCAGGCGAGTGATAACAGGCTTTAATCCTTCTAAAGCGTGCTGTGGGATGGGATGTTGGCGTTGAGCGGGGTAAGGGTGATTAGGTTTTAATGGGGTGGTAATGGGCATGTGATCGGTTGCCAGGGAAGGAGTAGAGATGTCCCATACTTGTGGGTTAAGGTGGGGGGATATGAGAGAGAGACGCAAAGGAGGCTTTGGGTTGGGGAGAAGGGCGGCAATGAGATGCGGCTGTAGTCCAGGAATAGTCAGGGAAGTAGATAATTTGGTTAAAATATCTCGGCCTAATAAGGGAACTGGGCAGGTGGGGATAACTAAAAAAGAGTGCATAAAAGAGTATTGTCTAAGTTGGCACCACGGTTGGGGAATTTTAAGAGATTTAGAAGCCTGGCCGTCAACACCTACAACAGTTATGGAGGCAAGGGAAACAGGCCCTTGAAAATAAGGTAATGTGGAGTGAGTAGCCTCCATATTGATTAAGAAGGGGAAGGACTTACCCTCCACTGTGAGAGTTACTTAGAGCATCTGTGATGGTCCTGTAAGCTTCTGAGGTAATCGGGCAGTTTCAGTCTTCAGCTGCTAAGCCGAGAAGGAGTCAGAGAGCCTTGGGCCAGAGTTCCAGGGGCTCTGGAAGTGGCTGCCAGGTGAGTTGAACAGTCCGATTTTCAAAGGGGTCCTGCACAGATGGGACATGGCTTAGGAGGAATCCTGGGCTGTGGGCATTCCTTGGCCCAGTGGCCAGATTTCTGGCACTTGCAGCAAGCTCCTGGGGGAGGAGGTTCTGGAGGAATGGCAGCTGTGGTTCAGGCGTTTGGAGTTCTTGTGTGCTGGAGATGTGGCTGGGGTTTGTCTCACAGTGGAGGCAAGGAATTGCAACTCAGAAATACATTGCTACTTGGCTGCCTCTACTCTATTATTGTATACCTTGAAGGCGAGGTTAATTAAGTCCTGTTTTGGGGTTTGAGGGCTGGAATTTAATTTTTGGAGCTTCATTTCATGTTGGGAGCAGATTGGGTAAAAAAATAAAATGCATATTGAGAATAAGAATAAGACAGCCTTCTGACCTTTCAGGGTCTAGGGCTGTAAAGTGTCTCAGGGTTGCTGCCAAACGAGCCATGAACTGGGCTGGGTTTTTCATATTTGATGAAAAAGAGCCTAAACGCTAACTGATTTTGAGAGAGTTCGGATAAAGAAAGAGGAGCATTAACCTTGACTATGCCTTTATCTCCAGCCACCTTTTTAAGAGGAAATTGCAGGCAGGTGGGGGAAGGCTGGTTGAGGAATGAAACTGTAAGCTGGACCAGGTGTGAGGAGGGGAGGTGATAAAAGGATTATAGGGTGGGGGAGCAGAGGCTGAGGAAGAATTGGGACCTGGCTCAGCCTGGCGAGGAGGGGAGAGATCAGATGGGTCTGTAGACAAGGAAGATTAGAAAGACTCAGTGACGCTTGGGGTTGGGACTGAGGGGACAGGTGGGAGGGAAAGAAGGAAGATTTGGGATGAGTTGCATTGGGAACAGAGACTAGGGAGGGACTGATGTGTAAAAGAATGCCTGGACGTCAGGCACCTCAGACCATTTGCCTATTTTACGACAAGAATTATTTAGATCTTGTAGGATGGAAAAATTGAAAGTGCCATTTTCTGGCTATTTGGAACTACTGTCGAGTTTGTATTGGGGTCAAGTGGCATTGCAGAAGAAAATAAGGCATTTAGGTTTTAGGTTTTTAAGAACACAGGCTAAGGGAGAAGAAGGAGGAAAGGAATGGAAGGTGGAAGGTTGCCCATAGTGAAGGAGGCAAGCCTAGAGAAAAGAGAGAGTAGAGACATGGAGGGAAGGGGTTCGGGGGTTCTTACCCTCCAGAAAAGTGGGAAAGGGGTTGGGGCACAGAGATAAGAGGTCAGGACATGGAAATAAGGGATCAGGGCGCAGAGATAAAGGGTCGGGGCGAGGAAATAAGGGATCGGGGTGCAGAGATAAGGGGTCATGCTGCTACCTTAACATCATACCATCTTTGAATATATGTAGTTGGGCAACTCCAATGTCACATTTCTGGCTCAAGCCACCATTCATACTTGTTCCAGATGCATCACCTACTGCTTAGCTAAGACAGCTGTCATGCTTAGCATGTTTCTTCACACACCCATAGCACCAATGCCACAGCTGCTTCATTCAGGGTTTCTGCTTGTCACTGCACTAAAAAAATGGGTATGGGAGTGAATATTTCTGGTTTGCATGGAGTTTTATAAAACTAGATCCTATAACATGGTCACTTGGACCTTGAGATGTTTCGGATTTCTAGATGTACCATATATACCAGATGTATGGAACATGAGAAATGGCTGGATATTTTGGATAGAGTTTTCCAGAAATGAACTCTGAGCAGGTATCTTCATACTGGATAAACCTGAGGAGCACAGTCAGAAACCACACTGCCGTAGTAGGCTGAAGCCAACCTGTACCGATTTGCAGTTATGCACATCTCTTGCCAACTCTGCACTCAATGACAGCAAGTTGGTAATTTTAAATTGGCCATAGTGGGAGATGACATCTTAGAATTTGGAAAATTTGACAAATAGAGGCTTTTTTCCCCCTGGAGATTCAATTGTTAAATATTTACAAGCACATCACTGTCTGAAAAAGAGCCTTCTCTTTCAGCCCAAAAAGAGCCAGGACTACACAGAGGAAGACGTTGAACTGCTTGGATTTGGGCTTATCCACCATAATAATTCTTAGCCAACCCATCAAGAAATCAAAGTGAGTTTTCTGACAAATATTAAGTGCATCCATTTCAATATTCCACGTGGGACCAGTGTGTGCATGGTCCCGTGGACGCACTCTTTGCAAATGTGGCCCAGGACTCCTTCATTTGCTACCTGGCCCATCTGTGTTCCAACTCTAACCAGGGAGTCATGATAACACTTTGGATCACCAGATATCAATGTCAGCAGGTACCCTATGGCCAACAGTCCATGAAGTATCTGAGTATTCCTTTTTTCTCAAGTCAAAGAGCTACCCAAGTAAATGGCTAGATATCTGCTATAAAAGTACCACCAGTACAACTCCAGATTAGCAGCAATGATGCATCTGTTTCAGATCCAGACACTTTGTGGCAGGATGGCTATTGGGATCTTGTAATTGGATCTCCTAATCCTTTATCACCTATAAGGGAGCAAGGAAAGAGGGATTAGGCAAAGGGAAAAATCGAATCACAATGCAGTGCAACAGAGGCCTCAGCCAATCACAGAGTGATTAGGGTATATCCTTCACTAAGGCAGTTCTCCTCTTCTGAGGGAAATTTCCAGAGAAGGACTCAACGTAAGACATTTGGTGCCAGGAGTGGTACCAGGAAGCAGACTCAGCTGAGTCATTGGTAGACAATATTCTGGCAGCTGGGGAAAAGTTCTAAAGTAGGGGATTGAGCATCATATTTCAGTGTCTGTTACACTGAGTCAGATTAAGATCCCTTACATTACATGCAGAACTATTATTTTCCAACAATACTGAGAATTTGAGTTTAGCTTTGCATACCGATCTCCTTCTCTCAGACTAGATTTTCTCCTCAGTTCTAAGGTTCTTCCTTGAAATTTTGCATCATAACATCTCCCTCTACCTCAAAGCCTTCCAGTATGTTTTTATATGTAAAAACATTGATCATTTGCTTTATTTGTCTTCTAGAAGCTTCCTTAACTACCAGGTAAAATTTGTTAATTCAAAAACATATCAACAATGAAGGAGATTTTCCAAGCTCATAAAACCTATGCCTCTGATGATTTTCCAGGGCATCCTATTACAGTTATCACCACTGGATCTGAAATTGGTGCGTTATCGCTGATAATCTTGAGTTATGCTGATGATATTTTTATAGTAGATATTGTTAGCAGTATATACAAATTTAGAAAAGAGAGCTTTATTTCTTTGAAGGGGATTACAACCTGCAGGCAGAAAGCACAGCCCCTGGCTTAAAACAGAAAGCCAGCACTTTGAGGAAGGGAGAGTAAGGTAGGAATTTAAGCTTGAACGGGTTAGCCAAGTAGGCATATTTAACAGGATATAGGAGGAGCTATGAATATGCATGAAAAGGAGGTCATGTGATTGAGTGATAAGCAAACATGCATGTTACATGCATTTCATGCTCACCTTGGGGTAGAGAATTAACATTCAAATGTATTACAATTAGGCCCTACACTTCAAAAGATCTTTTCAGGACATGAAGGCACACAAGTGTGCAGTCTCAGTAAACCAGCCGGGACCAGTCCATGGTCAATGGCCTTCTTATCAGGAGAAAGTTACTGAAATCAGTCTCTTGTCTGCTTGAAGCTATAGTTATGGCTTGTGGAACAGGGGGCTCAGTTAGTCATTGTCTGGTGGTTGGCAAGTTGCAGCTGCTTCGACATTGTTATCTCAAAGCCAGTGCTTGTTTAGCTTCTAGAAAAAAAGAAAAAACTTGTGGCAGTTAGAACATAGTTTATCCTTTAAGTGTAGGGGTGCATAACTTAATCCTTGCCTGGCGTGGCTTTAGGTCCTGTTTATAATTTAGGTCCTGTTTATAATTTGGTATCATATTGTCACAAAGGGTCTGTTTTGTCAGCCTTATGACCTCTATTTTTGTATAAATTCTGGTCAGTTGTTTTGTGTAAACTGCAAAAGGGAACAGGTATAATGAGACATGTCTGACCTATCATCCCATCATGGCCAGGAACTCAGTTTCAAGGTTTCTGGGGTCCCCATGGTCAAGAGGGAGTCCTTTCAGTCAGATGATGGGGCATGGGATTTTATTTTTAGTTTACAGTATTTACCTTACAAAATAGATGGAAGGCGGGCAGCAGGAGAAAGAAGAAATAATTCTCTCATTAGGGTAATAAGTAGTTAGGGGAAGACCTTGACATATGGATAATGTTTCTAGGAAGTTTCAGAGGCACAGTTATATAGCTGTTGCAATTAGCATCTAACAAGGAATTAGATTTGTTTATATATACATCACAGGGAAGAAAATTATGGAGGATATTTTTAAGCCACCAAGTGTGCTGAGAATCGATGAAATATTGAAAGACTTCCTTTAAAAAATAACTTTTCTGGAACTGATAGTCAGGTCTGTATAACTGGCCATGCTGAGAGAAAAGTGAGCTAATAGGTTTCAGTGTGATTTTCTATTCAAACAAGCTTGGAGTACTTTAAGCAATTAACAAGCTTTCTGGGCTGATTCCACATTACAGGGAAAAAATTGTAATGTGCAATATGCTCATGTGGGAACCCTTAAAAATCATCTCTGTGATTATCAAGTGATGAAGCCATAATCACAATGCTGGCATCCACAGACTTTCTGACTCAGAGGTTTCTATGAATCCAACATTCTTATTAATTGTATTCCTTTCACAGATCTGCATCAAGAACTAGGGAAAAATATGGCCTTTTATGCATAATGACAAGATACAATGTCCTAATGTGACTGGCTTCATAACAGTGTTAACATTCTCCCACTGGATTTATAAGGGAAAGGGAGTGACTTACTCCTAAAAGAGCTGATTTAATACAAGGAGATTAGTTCTGAACGAGGTCATTTGTAAAACCACACAGCCAACTACTTAACATGTTACATGGAATCTATACTGGAGATGGCTGCCACATTTGTGGTACTAGCTCACATGGGTCATACTCGGGACAACATTGAAGATTTTTGTGTACTATAAAAAACAAGAAGCGGTGTACCCATTTTTGCTCATTAACAATACCTTTCAATTAGTTAGAAAAGGTATGACTTCAAGAAAACTAGACAGAAATACAATTATCTTGTTTATCC
This sequence comes from Homo sapiens, assembly GCF_000001405.40. Classification (NCBI taxonomy): domain Eukaryota; kingdom Metazoa; phylum Chordata; class Mammalia; order Primates; family Hominidae; genus Homo; species Homo sapiens. The sequence continues at coordinate 32,173,013 of NC_000009.12, forward strand.
TAGTATTGAGACTAGCCCAGGGTAGTTTTTATTTCCCATCCTCTGTCATTAATGTTCCTATCTGAATAAAATAATAGACAGTTTGATTTTCCTTTTGCACTTTGGATCTAAGCAACAAAGAATGAAACATGGATATTCCTTGCACCCTGGTTACTGTATAGCATGTCCCTGCCCTCCCCACTCGACTGCTATCCCTCCCTTCTCTCTGCCTCCAGCTAGGACTTGTTATGGGAGCTACAAGCCCCTGACATGTGAATGCTATGCACTGTGTCAGAAAGCCAGCTATCCAGTATTTTGTGTTAAGGTGGTATAGGGGCTATATTGGGAGATAAACTTTCATTGGCTTATCTCAAGAGTTTTCAACCTGGAAAGTATTAAAAGATGTCACCTCCTAAAAGGTGACAGTAGATGAAACTTTATGAAATTTCTCTACTGGAAATTTGAAGAAAAATATTGCCATCCAGCCCTTAATGAAGCAAATCAAATCATACTGTATCAGGACCCTTGGTCAAGATATTACTTTTCATTATTAATATTCTAGTATTTCAGATTTAGTCTTCATATAATAGTCTTCAAATATAATAAAATAACACATATGTAATAGTGTTGATAACCATGTGGTGGTGCTTCCCCTAAATATTTGAGATGTCACTATTGATAGTGATACCTGTCAAAGTTACACTCATCTCTTACTTCACCCCTATCTCTTTTGCCTGGTCTTTGTTTTCCATGGTCCAGACGACAGAAATATTTTTGGTTCCCAATAGTCTGAGGGTAAAAGCAGTCAGTAAGCCTTAATAAACTCCACAAGAAGAGCACTGCTATCTCTCATGAAGATTCCAGGGCTCCTCTGGGTGGGATGTGGTGGGTATTGCAACAGTATTTAAAACTCTGTGCTAGGCTGATAGCATAGATATTCTGAAAGTACAATTCCAGCTGCCCAACTCTGTATAGGCCAGCCTCTATGAAGGAAGCCCTGTGATCCACGAGAAGAAAAGCAGTTCCTCCTCCCCCGCACAGGGACTGCCAGTAATGTGGTATTTTATTTTCTTCTCTTCAGCCCTTTACTCTGTCCACTTCTGTCTTAATTCAGCTTAGATTTTTTTGTCCATTATGAATGAGACTCTCTTACCAATATATATTCGAGTCTTTTCTCAAGAACATAGATTATTCTTCTATCACAATTGCTGACAAACCCATGTTGTGGGTCTAATTTAGCTGTCAATTTCCTCCAAGACTATGCATAAAATCCTGAACAATGACGAATATAATTGCACAAATTTGCAGATTTATGCCAGTCTCAATTCATGGTTTTGAAACTTGGATAGTCTATGACGTCCAGCAGCCCTTTAACTATGTTTTAAATGTTGCCACTTCATGTCTTGCAGGACCTTCAGGTTCACTCTGTCTAAAATATATGTTGTCTCTACCAACCCTTTATCCAACCACTTATTCAAGCCAGAAGTCTTGGCATCTCTTGGAATCGATCCATTAATTTCCATCTCACTGTCATAACCTTAGTTCAGATCACTCTCATCTCTTACTTAGTCTATTTTAACAGCCACATAACTAGCATTGTTGCTCCAATCCTGTATTTCTCCAATCTATTTTCACTTTATAGACAGAATGATTTTTCAAAAAATCTTTAAAAGATCTCGTTTAATGGATTCTTACTGTTATAAAACCCAACCCCTACCCATAGCTTAGGAGGCTCTACAGAATTTCTGCTTCTATATTTCCCTTATCATGTTTTGCTATTACCTTCCTCCCTAATCATCCAGATTCTCTGTTCAGGCATACTGTTCTGCAAATGATACATGCACCCAACTTTTGCTTCCAGGGCTTCACACAAGACTTTTCCCTAGGTCTTGAAAAATTATATCTTGTCACTGCTTGTTTTTCTCATATTCATCAACCTATTTGATTGTTTAAATCTTTGTCAGCCCTTATTTCCTCTGGGAAGCCCTGAGTGTTGTTGAGGTACACCATTATTCATGCTCTAATATCACAATTTCTGCATGTAATCAGATCTGTCTCCACCCAATCTCAAGTCCTTCCTTCCTTTCCCTCACCACCCCACCACATTACCATCCAATTTAAAAAGCTGTCTATTCTTTTTATCTCCCAAATGTATACCAAATTATTCTGTACCAGAGGCCTCTTACATACCACCTAAGGCCTTCTTGGCCTCACCTGTCTCTTGTTCTAGCTTTGCTTGGATTCTGACCAAATTCATGTAGGTGCAACCTAACGGTGTCTCTCCTCCTTCCATCTCTGTATCTGTGGTCTCTTGATCTGGGGCTTTCTTGTTTATGATGCTCAGGACCCTGCTCAACACTCATGCCCAGACTTGTGCAACCCAGAAGTTCAGGGAGCTCAGCACACCAAGAGAAAACTTAAACCAGTGCATGATTTTTTTATCCTTCTTGACCTTCGGGGGATGATTCTAAGATGCAACTTACTTACCTTCTTACCAGTGTAGTCCCACAGACCTAACAGTTGGCACTTAGCAGTCACCCAGTTCAATAAGATAACTCACAGTGGTTCTCCATCTTCTGTTACTCCATCACTCCTGTAGTCCCTCACTCCTGCTCCCTAAATAAAAAGTAAACATAATATGCTTTCTCAGGCTAAGCTACATTATATTTCTCTCTATCTTCACTGCCAGTTCTCCAGTTAAAAACCACTATCATCTCTTACTTGGATTACTGCACTTTTCTCCCAATAGTCTTTCTAATTTTATTCAATAGTCCATTCACACTTTTAAAAGTAACCTTTGAAAATCATAAATCTGTTTACTTCATTTGCTTGCTTTAAAATTCTCAGCCCTGTCCTGGGTTACAGAAATAAAAAGATAGATAAATAAATAAATAAAATCCTCAAGTAACTCCTCACTTAGAATAAAATCCAAATTCCTTACCATGGCTTGCATAGACCTAGAGGAATTGGCTTTGCCCAACCTTTCAATGTTATCTCATATAACACATGTGTAAGGTATGAAGTAAGAACCTAATTTTATTTTTCATTTTATTTTCCTTGTGAAAAGTTAATAAAAAGGAAGCACCTTCCACAGTGTAAATCCATTTGTCAGAAATCCACAGACTAACCTCGCCTATTCAGACTCCATTAGTCTGTTTTCCCATTGCTAATAAACACATACCGGAGACTGGGTAATTTATAAAGAAAAAGAGGTTTAATGGATTCACAGTTCCACATGGCTGGGGAGGCTTCACAATCATGGTGGAAGGTAAAAGGCACATCCTACATGGCAGCAGGCAAGAGAGAATGAGAGCCAAGTGAAAGGGGAAAACCCTTAGAAAACCGTCAGATCGTGTGAGACTTATTGACTACCATGAGAACAGTATGGGGGAAACTGCCCCCCGTGATTCAATTACCTCCCACTGGCTCCCTCTCACAACACATGGGAATTATGGGAACTACAATTCAAGACAAGATTTGGGTGGGGACACAGCCAAACCATATCACAGACTAATATGGATTTTAATTAAATTATGCATATTTGATTTAAAATCTGAATTATTCAACATAATTTTCCCTCAGCATTTTAAGGATGGAATCCCTTTACATATTGAAATCCATTATTACTGATAAGAATTATGCTGCCAATTGAGAATTTATTTTTATAAGCAATTTTTATTTTCTAATAGCTTTTATAATAATTTTGTCTTTGAAATCATGACATTGTACTATGATTCTGTGATTTTTAATTTTTTAAATTTTTTTCTGCTTAAGTCTCAGTGTACTCTTTCAATTTGAGAATTTATTTTTCCTCAACTTTAGAAAATTATTAACTGTGATTAATTAAAATTTTGCTTACTGGTCATATATTAGATCTAATTCTGGCTTCTACATCCCTTAACTAATATTTTAATGCTTTCCACCCCTTTCTCTCTCAGTGGTACATTTCTAAGTGATTTATTTAGATTTACTGTCCAGATGAATCTTATCTTAACTGTATGTGGTTTACTATTCAATATTTACATTCAGAATTTATATATATAAAATTATATCTAATCATATATATCATATATAGTTATAATATATGATATATATGACATCCTATATATACTGTATAAGTAATTATAATATGTAATTACATCATATAGAATTATGTATAATAGAGTTATATATAATGTATAATCATATATAGGATATCATATACATCATATGTTATCTTGTATATATTATATATCATATATTATATATTATCATATATGATATCTATATCTCATATAATATATAAAATATTTTTGAATTAAAAAAGTTATGTTTATATCTAGACTTACTTGGGTTCTTTTCAAATTTTCTAATTCTTTTTATGCATTTTTTATTCCTACCTTATGAATTCTGTTCTTTATCTTTTTGAACACTTAGATAAACTTATTATAAATTTTCTTTCAGACTATTTTGTTTATTTCTAGTTCTAAGTATCTAAATTCTTCTACTTACTGAATCTGTGATTCTCTCCAACAATGGTTCATTCTGTGTGATTTGGATAAATTCACTATGAGCTCATCTTTATCCTGTCATTTTGTATTGTTTTGGCGGGAAGTCAAATATGCTCTGGACTGTGTAAGTGTCTTACATAGCAGTTTCCTAGTCAGCACTGAAAACAGGGTGTTTAATTGGCTCTTAATTTCTTGACCCCACACATTTTTCTAACACCATTTTGAAGTTTTCATTTTTCCCCACGGACAAGCCAATGGAAGACAAACCTTGCTGCTTCCCAGGTGCGGTGGATGGTGCTTTTCTGGTATTCATTTCAGAGATGGGGAAGTCTTCAGGCTTTAGGGAAGAAACATAGTGCTGGTTTTCTATGCATTTAAGACATATGGATAAACAGTTATCCTTTTGTTATCTAACACAAAACCAAACTGTTAAGATTTCAATATATTTTCAATAACCTTTTGAGGTTGTTGGCAGCAGCCCTTGCTCACAGCTCTGATGTTTCATATTTTCTTCCTTTTAATCTCATGGTGATTTATCTCTTTTGGTTTCCAAATATTCTTTATCTTATCCAAGCATTCACTTGTGTGTGGAGCTGCTTCGACCGTATTTGACATGTTTCTTGTGAAATACAAAACTTAATCCTCATGATATTTTAATTGGAATTGAGCTACAAATACAAAACATAAAATAGATACCTGTCACTTCCAAGAGAATGTTGCAGGTCTGCATTTACTCAATATTTTGTCTACACCCTCAATACATGAATAAGTCTTTGAGGTTTAATTTGTGCCAAGAAACATGAATGTCTGCCATTAACTTTCTCTGGACAATTTTTTAAACTATATTTTCCACCTGCTTACTGGTAATACATAAATACTTGTATTGTCTTACTATACTCTCAATTATTACATTTAGATATTACCCTACTTGGAGGCTATAATATGAGTCCAGTTGGAAGAAAAGGTGTCTTGTAATAGAGTGGTAACAGTGGAAATGAAGAAAACCTCAGATTTAAGATATATTTATAAATTATGATTGAGATCACTTGATGGACAGATGTGAGGGTGATAAAGATAGAGATATCGAAGGTGACATTCCTGTTTCTGCCCTGATGTAAGGTGGAGGTATCATTGATGAGAGAAAGAAGACTGAGGAATGGGAGGGAGAAGCAGATGTGGAATGGGAATGAGAGAATTAGTTTAGTTTTATAATAAACTTACACTAAAAACACTTCTTACACAATAATTTGTTATTCCAGTGAAGGAAAGTACTTTGTAGTAAGGCATATCTTTGTGAAAACAGATGATCCATAACAGGAGAGTAACTAAAGACAGCAGGGACGAAGGGCTAATAAGGAGGCCAAGGACCTAAACAGAATATTGGAACCTCCTCTCCCGGGCGGTGTCCTGATGAGGTGAAGAGGTCCACTCAACTTCTTTTTTGATGTAGCTAGAGGAACGATATTGAAATGACATTTAGAACACCCCATTTTCATATCTGACCCATCACAATTACAGACTTCAGTGATGAAAAAATAAAATTTATCTTTCTATACTCAAAACCTGTGGAGCAGGAGACCTCACAGAAATAAAATGTCTAGTTGTTTGAAATATTCTAAATAGTTTTGGCAGTGGAGAAACATTTCCTTCTCAGTGGCACTCCAACATCTTCATGCTGGAGTCATCAGCGTAGTCATTAGCATCTTAACTTAGCTGCAGATACTTTGCATGTGAAGGAGATGGAGAGCATTTCTGAAGGTTTTTGCTGGATGGTCTGGCTGTGATAGAGTGTTGAATGATAGCCTGAGGCACTTCTTGTCTGATTTTGTGCATGGTCCTAATTAGAGAGGAACAATTCTATTGCCAGACAAATGTCTGAGGGATTAATAAGCCAGTTTTGGCTATTATCAGTGCAAATGAGCCACCTAAGTGACAACAGGACAGAAGTGTAGGCTACATTCTCCTCTGCCTTTGCCTGCAAACATGAATTTATATGCAGGCAAACTCTTTCTCAGTCTTCTTAAGGAAACCATCATGGAATGTGTGCGTTTCAAACTTCAGAGTTGATTTCTTTCCAGCCTAGGAGAGTATATAAAGTTACACTAAAAATGAACCTAGGAAAACAAAATCAATTCCACGATAGGAAGAGGAAAAGACCATTTCACTGTATTTATTGCTTTATTACCCTCCCTCCCCACAAAAAAAAAAAAAAGAAAGAAAGAAAGAAAAAAATCCACACCTCCTTGAGCCTCATAGGTATCTCTGCTCCAATAGAGAAGGCAGGAGAAAGGAATAAAAGTAAAATATTTCCAGTATAGCTTCCTTTATGGAATATAAGAACTTTTGGAAAATATAAGAATGACTTAACTAAGTAGCTAATTCTACAAACATGTATTGATGTCCAACTATTAATGAGGTTTTTGTATCCCTGGGTAAACAAAAATGAGGACTGCCTCTGCAGTTAAGCTTAGGTATGTATGGCCAGCCATTAATAAACTTGTAGAACCATACTTTGGGTGCATTCAGTCTCCTTTTCTTTCATACCGTTTATTTTCTTTTTTCCTCATTTTTTTTCATCTATTCAATTATTTACCTTCAAAGTATCTTCTCAGGAAAAGGTTTGACAGCATTTAATGACCTGTTTAAATGTCCAGTCTAAAACAACTAAAATAAGATGAGGGAATTCTCCCCATGGTAATAAAAAGTATACATTTAAGTAAAAAGCCTACAGTGTTATACACATTAGTAAGATTGTTGTCTTAAAACAAGAATCGCTGTTATCAACAATATTTTTAATAATTTTTTTTTAATTCTTTACTTGTGTTTTTCTAATCCGTTTCACAGGTAGCTGAAAGAGTAAATGTAATAAAATGCAATTCTAATCATGTCGCTTCTCCCATGAAAACCTTTCAATCGCATTTTAATGAGCTTAGGATAAAAATCAATCCCTTAAAGTAGCCTTTACTCAACAAGTATTTGCTGAACAGCTAACGTCTGTGCAGCACTGTCGAAGGTACTAAAGATATACCATGAGTAAACACCAGAATGTTGGAGCCAGAAATTCCATACGGCCGTTTTGGATTTTTGTTGTTGCTGCTGCTGTTACTAGTATTTGATAAAGTATTACAGAAAACATTAAAACAAGTGAAACTATGTACTAAGGAGCATAACAACAGTTTTCTACTGTTTAGTGGTTAAGCCTGTTTAGGGATAGAATCTGAAGTATCTAAAGGAGATAGAATAGCATAGGTCATGTAGTACCACTTCTCCCAGCTGGGTTTTTGGCAGAACCTGGAAAAAAAACACTCAAGTCTGAACTTGATGATGACAGCTGACACTACTGAGGTTCCTCTGTGTTTGTTCTTTTTCTAAAATAGTACACAGAATGAGGCTGGCTCATCAAATTTTCTTTTATTTTTAGAAGTAGACAGTGAAGATTCAAACTTCTATTTCTTCTTTCAAGTAAATTTAGATTTCCCGGTATCCTGACTATATATAGCTATTTTTATTTGAAAGCACTTTACACTTAGTTATTCTACAGAAATATGTAGAAGTGTAGTGAGAGCACCAAGAATTAAAATCATGACCATTGGTCTACAGCTCTTGATTCCATTTGGAGATGGCAGCTTGATGTTACAGTCAACTGAGGCCTTCCTAGTATAAGTTCCAAAAGTATGGTCCACCTGCCATCTAAACAAGTGCGTAACTTGATCTCTTCTCCTTCAAGGACATGTTTCAAAGCACAAATGTTAGATGATTGAGTATTTCTCGTTCATGTTTCTGGTGAATTATTTGCATATGTAAGGGCCCTCAGGATGGTGACCCCATTTCATAATTCCTCTGCCATTCCATAAAATCTAATTATGAACATCAATGATCCTGCTAAGGTTTTCTGGAGAGAGGGCACTCCACTTTTATGTGAAGTTGAGCAATTAAGTCTTCAGTATGAAGTGGGACTATATGGCTATTTTCTGCTAAATGGATACATTCCTACTAGAGATGTGATTTTATCAAAGTCATTTAATCACATGATATCTGTGATATAATGTGATATTATATCACATTATATCATTTTTTTACTATAAAATAGGGACGAAAATAGCTATCTTGTCAATTCCATAGAATTTTCAGAGGATAAAATGACATTAGGTTTATGAAAGTACTCTGTAACATTTCCAGGAGTGGGAAGGATATGAAGTTGAGCCCCTCAGACTTGATGGGGAAAAACTACTCTTCATCTGTTGCAAGGAGATTTTGCCTCTCTTTCATTTGGTTTTCCTGTGGGATGTGTATGAAATTTCTGAGTGGAGGGTTAAAATAAGGCTTGCATTTTCAACTCCCATCAATGTTTATCACCAGAAATATATTTTTAACACAGACTCCTCTTTTACCAGAAAATATGTGTATTTAAATCTCTCTAGCTAAAGATATTAGAAAAAATTTTATGTGACTTTAAAATTAGCTCAGTTTAATTTTAGCTGGAGTTATTATCACAACATTAAATCTATTTGGACATTTAAAAAAATACAGAATAAGTTAAGCAAGCTTTATTTTTTTCAGCAAAGCAGAAAAAAAATCAAATCAGAGAAACCAAAAGACTTTTAAAAACAAAACATAAAATTTCACATTCTACTTTCAGTAAAATACTCCAGATGAGAGAACCAAATTGCTTGTTCTCATTTAAATAGCTCAGCAATACCTGAAGTGAATACCACAAGCTTGTTTTTGTGCCACTTATCTCAGATTTGCCTTTTCATGAACATTTTTGAAAGTGGGAATAATGTCAGTGATAGCTTCATCTCATGTTCTGGAAAAATAGAGCAGAAAATTACCCACCTCTGGTGCATTGGTTGCAGAGCTGCCTAAATTATTCAAACAAACCACAGCACCCATGCTTGCACTGATTTTTGAATGATTCTCTTTGATATGAGATAGTTCCCTACAGTGGGCACTCAGCTCTAATCTTCACTGCCCTTTATTTCTCAGAATTTTCTACTCTACAGTTCTGTTTGTACGTCACAGAATTGTAAAAGCCTTGGTTGATTTCTTGACTACCAGAATAAATAGGTAAAAATATTATGTGTTAAAAAGTGAAAGTTCTACGAAGCAAAATAAAGCAGAGTAAGGGATAGAAGTAGTGTTAGGGAGCCAGGGAATACTGGGTGTAAGATGATGAGAGGAGGGGTTGTTTTAGATAGGGTGGTCAGAGAAGGTCACATTTATTTGGAGACATTTGAGCAGAGACTTGAAAGAATTCCTAAGCAAACTATGGAAATATTTGGGGGAAGAACATTCCAGGCAGATAATACTGCATGTGCAAATGTTCTGAGAGACAAGGGGTGACTAGCATGTTAAAGGAACCCCAATAAGGCCCATTTGGATCAAGTGAAAATGGGTAGCAGGGAGATGAGACTGGGGTGCAGGGAGCTGTGGGCATTATAGGCAATTGAATTTTACTGTGAGTGAAGTGGGGGGGTTCTGAGCAAAAGATAACAAGATGAGATATTTTAGAGCCAAGAATGACATAGCTGGAATTTTGTTTAACAAGTTGACTGGCTACTCTGTTGAGAAGAGACTGTAGGGAGAAAGACTAGACAGGAATCTATGACAATAATCAAGGCAAAAGAGGATGCTGGCATGGACCAGGTGGTAGGATGGATGGTTTAAGAATGGTTAGAGGCTGGATGCATTCTGAAAGTAGGGTTAATAACATTTATGAATGGAATCAATATGGGGTATGAAAGAAAGAGAGAAGTCAATGATGATCCTAAGAATTGTGTCATGATCAAGTGTAAGTGTCTTCAGATAGAAAAATTTCGGCATGTGTAAGAAACAGAATGGACAGAGAGACCTTCGACTAGTGTGTGAAGGGAAGAATAAAATATCAGAGAAAGAGAGAGAGAGAGAGCAGGGCAAGCTATTCTAAGTAGGAGATAGAAGACCAAAACAAGATTATTCTAGGTAGAAAGGAAAGCCATTTGAGAGTTTTAAACAGGGGACTAACATGAACTGATACATATTTTTTAAAGATTCCTCTGGCTTCTCTGTGGAGATTAGATATATATGAGCAATAGAAAGAGAAACATCCAGTAAGGAGGTGATTGCTTTAGTCTAAGCAAGAGAGAATGGTGATGTGGACAGGATACTAGCAGTGAGAGATAAAAATAAGTGTAAGGAACTGAGGTATGTTTTAGAGGTACATTCATCAGATGTTATTGATGAATTAAGGAGGACAAGGGAATTAAAGAAATTAAGATAATTAAGGAAATCAGTTCCCCTGATCAATTTACACTCTAGGTATCGTCAGCTACCATTTAATCAGAAAGACCATATTGCAGATATAATTGTCACAAATACCTCAGTTTTCTGTGTCTCCTGCTATACCACAAACTATGCCAATTGACAAAATGAATGTTAGAAGTGGGGTTTTATTGATGATATTAGTAGCTTATTATTATAAATACCAAAGTAGATATTAGAAATAGTTTCCCATGAATGTGTGGAAGTAAAAGAAGACTACTCGCATGAGAATAAGCAAAAGCTATTTATTCAGAGCTTGCTGTAGCTCGGGAGCTAGCCACTATCATTTGCATTTGGAAGATACTCAAAGGCAGGCAGAGGGACGGGAAAGGTAGGCAGTGGGAGGAAAAGGGAAGGCTTCAGGTACGCCCTCATTGGAGGTTGCAGGTGGACTAACTAGAAACCAGGCATCTTGTGTGATTAGTTTATTTGAACAATTATGCTTTATGATAGTCTGCTTAAAATAGTTTCCAAAATACTTTTTGGTAACTTACAACTTTAGACTTATGCTAAATTAAGTAATAGATAGTTATTAAATATCTAGATGATCTTTAAATAAGATTAAATACTGAGACATTGATTACTAAACATAAACTTAAGTTTGGGCCAGGCGCGGTGGCTCACGCCTGTAATCCCAGCACTCTGGGAGGCCGAGGCAGGCGGATCACGAGGTCAGGAGATCGAGACCACGGTGGAACCTCGTCTGTACGAAAAATATGAAAAATTAGCCGGGCGCGGTGGCGGGCGCCTGTAGTCCCAGCTACTCGGGAGGCTGAGGCAGGAGAATGGCGTGAACCCAGGAGGCGGAGCTTTCAGTGAGCTGAGATCGCACCACTGCACTCCAGCCTGGGTGACAGAGCAAGACTCCGTCTCAAAATAAGTAAATAAATATAAAATAAAATAAACTTAAGTTTATATACTTTGGCTTCTTTTATAATATGATATAGAAAGGCTACGTATATTTAAGTATGTTGATAAATATGTTTCTTCTTTGAGTATGCTTGATAAACATTGAGAAACTACTATAAGGAAGCATAGAACTATAACATTGTGAGATCAAATATCCATTGGCTTTGCTAGTCGGCTACAAAATGCTGGCATGTGACAGACAGTTTACAATTATCCACTTCCTAGTTTCTTCTGTGAAATAACAGTTACTAATAGTTAAAAATTATGATCAATGTGTGCAAATGAAAGCACGAGAAGCAATAGGGGCAAAGGAAAACAATTTTCTATCCAAAATTTACAAGATACGTAGGATGTGGTTTTGTTAAGGGAAAAAAAAAAATCCTAAAATAAGATGAATGGTTGTACCAGAAAAGGGATGAAAAAGTGTAGGAGAAAGCCTTAATGGATTTGAAAAGCTATAAAGGTTTACAGAAAAGAAATTTTACTACTAGGGATCAGTATGGCTAAGATTTGATGTTTTTTTTTTTTTTTTTAATGAGTTTTAGTATCAGTACTATACCGATAGAAAACTAGAGTTTGTTTCCCTCTGTGAAAGTGACAAATATTTCTTAGATTATTGGTCTGCTCTTAATAAAAGTTTGTAAATAGTGTTCTTTACCTTTGAATAATTCATTGTATTAGTTCATTCTTGCATTGCTGTAAAGAAATACCTGACACTGGTCATTTATTAAGAAAAAAGGTTTGTCTCACGGTTCTGCAGGCTTTACAGGAAGCATGGTGCTAATGTCCACTCAGCTTCTGAGTAGGCTTTAGGAATCTTACAATCATGACAGAAGGCAAGGGGGAGCAGTCACTTCACATGGCAAAAGCGGGAACAAGTGGGGTGGGGACGAGGGGCCACACACTTTTAAACACGCAGATCTCCAGAGAACTCAGTCACTATCATGAGGTCAGCATCAATAAGATAGTGCTAAACTGTTCATGAGAAATCCACCCCCATGATTCAATCACCTCCCACCAGGCCCCACCTCCAATACTGGGAATTACAATTCAACATGAGATTTAGGGACACATGTCCGAACTATATTATCGATCTAGGAAGTAAAGATTCTGTGTTTTATTAGAATAATTTCCTGTGCTTCATGTTGACTTCATTATGTTCTTGACTATTTAAAAAAACAGAGTCTTCTCACTTGTAAAGGAGCTAGAATTTTTACAGTTATTTTACCTCCTATATTTGTTTTTGAAATCTCTCATTGTCACTTTGGTTAAATAGGTAGCAAAATCTCATTTCTCAATAACTCGTAGTCTGATTTAACTAACTGGTCAAACCTCCTGACAATAGTTGACATTTTGTCTTCCAAAAATCTAATCCTAAATAATATTTTTTATACCTAAAACTGACTTGGGGAAACTGGAAAGTAATAAAGGATCTTTCTCCTTATAAACAGAAAGGTACAAAAAAAATTAGGTTTTTATGAGATGCTGAATTTCATGGGAAGTGTTGTCAAGTAAAATATGCTATGCTTTCTTGGGTTATATTTTTATGGGTAAAATGTTGTTAATATAAATATTTTAGAAATTATGCTAAATTCCTGAAAACTTATCAATGCTTTCACTGTCTATGATAGGTTCTAGCGCTGCTATGTCTTCTATCAAACTAGAGTATAGTACTGTCAGTCATAACCCAGGGTTTTTTAAATGTATGCCACAGAAACAGCCAAATATATTTGTCAGTCCATTATTCGTGTAATGAACTTTCATTATATATTTAATCACAGGAATTTTTAGTCCTTTGTCATCCACAGATACAGATGTTCCTTGACTTACAATGGGGTTACAGCTGATAAAACCGTTATAAGCTGAAAATACTGTAAGTCAAAAATGCATTTAACATGCCTGGCCTACTGAACCTCATAGCTTAGCCTAGCCTATCGTAAACATGCTCAGAACACTTACATTAGCCTATAGTTGGGCAACATCTAACACAAAGCCTATATTAAAGTGTTAAATAGCTCATGTAATTGATTGAATACTGTACTGAAATTGAAAAACAGAAGCACGTTATGGGTTATAAATGTACAATTCCTACTGAATGGGTATATATCTCTTTCACACAATTATAAAGTTGAAAAATCATTAAGTCATAAGTTGGGGATTGTCCGTATATTTTTGTTTTATCCTAATGCTTTCCTGAAAGTGCTTGCAATTAGCAACAGACAAGAATGCCCTGTCTTCAACAACAACAAAAAAACCTTCAATAAGGGCTTTTTACAGAGACCCATGGAAGGGACTATACTAAGCACTCTGGGACATACACTTCTGATGGCCCTGCTCAAATAACTTTGAGACCATACTGCTGGACTAAGTTAGAATTTCCAGATTTCCAAAACTCTGATGGAGAAGCTGTTGGGTGCATGATATTGCTAACCTAATATCAAGCGGACAAGAAGTAATTCTGTAAGACTGAATGAAATGATGAAAAATGATTATGGATTTGGAATATTACTGATGAATTTGGAATATTACTGATGATTTAATGTTCTATTTCCTTTTTTCTCTTTTAAGCTACATATAATTCATAAAAAATTTAGTAAATTATGATTTTGTAAACAGAAATGAAACATTTTTTTCTTCTTGCCTCCTGTCTCCAGAATTCAGAAACTCTTAAGTATTCTTATTTTCATGGCAATATAATTGTTTGCATAGGTTTCGTAAGAATCTGTCCTCCTGGTAACAAGCATAATTAGAAACATTGATTATATAACCAAGACTTTCACTGGAATATCATATTTGAGTTTGACATGCACAGAATCAAATATGACCAGACAGTTTTAAGGAATGAAGTTGACTTTATGGAGTCAATGCGAACAAAGCCCTCTTGGGAAAGCCATCCGAATGCCTGGCTTATAGGATTCCCAGCCTTAGAGTTGAGTAAGGAAAGTCACTTCCTGGCAGGCCCAAGAACATTAAAATATTTTGAGAACCTCAAGAAGAGAGGAATTCATCCAAATATATCTGCACTGCTGGTGAAATCTGGTGACAAGTTCTTAACTCTACCTTCTTAATTTTGCTTTGCTGGAAGTTTTCATAAGGAGTTTCAGATTGCACTTTTAAAAGCTTCTTCAGGCTAGAAAGTAGAGTTAAGAACTTCTCACCAGATTTCATCAGCAGTACATATACAGCACTAAATGCACACAAGAGAAAGCAGGAAAGATCTAAAATTGACACCCTAACATCACAATTCAAGGAACTAGAGAAGCAAGAGCAAACACATTCAAAAGCTAGCAGAAGGCAAGAAATAACTAAGATCAGAGCAGAACTGAAAGAGACAGAGACACAAAAAAACCCTTCAAAAAAAAATCAATGAATCCAGGAGCTGGTTTTTGAAAAGATCAACAAAATTGATAGACCGCTAGCAAGACTAGGAAAGAAGAAAAGAGAGAAGAATCAAATAGATGCAATAAAAAATGATAAAGGGGATATCACCACCGATCCCACAGAAATACAAACTACCATCAGAGAATACTATAAACACCTCTACGCAAATAAACTAGAAAATCTAGAAGAAAGGGATAAATTCCTGGACACATACACCGTCCCAAGACTAAACCAGGAAGAAGTTGAATCCCTGAATAGACCAATAACAGGCTCTGAAATTGAGGCAATAATTAATAGCCTACCAACCAAAAAAAGTCCAGGACCAGACGGATTCACAGCCGAATTCTACCACAGTTACAAGGGGGAGATGGTATCATTCCTTCTGAAACTATTACAATCAATAGAAAAAGAGGGAATCCTCCCTAACTCATTTTATGAGGCCAGCATCATCTTGATAGAAAAGCCTGGCAGAGACGCAACAAAAAAAGAGAATTTTAGACCAATATCCCTGATGAACATCGATGCAAAAATCCTCAATAAAATACTGGCAAACTGAATCCAGCAGCACATCAAAAAGCTTATCCACCATGATCAAGTGGGCTTCATCCCTGGGATGCAAGGCTGGTTCAACATACACAAATCAATAAATGTAATCCAGCATATAAACAGAACCAATGACAAAAACCACATGACTATCTCAATAGATGCAGAAAAGGCCTTTGACAAAATTAAACAGCGCTTCATGCTAAAAACCCTCAATAAATTAGGTATTGATGGGATGTATCTCAAAATAATAAGAACTATTTATGACAAACCCACAGCCAATATCATACTGAAAGGGCAAAAACTGGAAGCATTCCCTTTGGAAACTGGCACAAGACAGGGATGCCCTCTCTCACCACTCCTATTGAACATAGTGTTGGAAGTTCTGGCCAGGGCAATCAGGCAGGAGAAGGAAATAAAGGGTATTCAATTAGGAAAAGAGGAAGTCAAATTGTCCCTGTTTGCAGATGACATGATTTTATATTTAGAAAACCCCATTGTCTCAGCCCAAAATCTCCTTAAGCTGATAGGCAACTTCAGCAAAGTCTCAGGATACAAAATCAATGTGCAAAAATCACAAGCATTCTTATACACCAATAACAGACAGAGAGCCAAATCATGAGTGAACTCCCATTCACAATTGCTTCAAAGAGAATAAAATACCTAGGAATCCAACTTACAAGGGATATGAAGGACCTCTTCAAGGAGAACTACAAACCACTGCTCAACGAAATAAAAGACGATACAAACAAATGGAAGAATATTCCATGCTCATGGATAGGAAGAATCAATATCATGAAAATGGCCATACTGCCCAAGGTAATTTATAGATTCAATGCCATCCCCATCAAGCTACCAATGACTTTCTTCACAGAATTGGAAACAACTACTTTAAAGTTCATATGGAACCAAAAAAGAGCCTGCATTGCCAAGACAATCCTAAACCAAAGAACAAAGCTGGAGGCATCACCCTACCTGACTTCAAACTATACTACAAGGCTATAGTAACCAAAACAACATGGTACTGGTACCAAAACAGAGATATAGACCAATGGAACAGAACAGAGCCCTCAGAAATAATGCCACATATCTACAACCATCTGATCTTTGACGAACCTGACAAAAACAAGAAATGAGGAAAGGATTCCCTATTTAATAAATGGTGCTGGGAAAACTGGCTAGCCATATGTAGAAAGCTGAAACTGGATCCCTTCCTTACATCTTATACAAAAATTCATTCAAGATGGATTAAAGACTCAAATGTTAGACCTAACACCATAAAAACCCTAGAAGAAAACCTAGGCAATACCATTCAGGACATAGGCATGGGCAAGGACTTCATGTCTAAAACACCAAAAGCAATGGCAACAAAAGCCAAAATTGACAAATGGGATCTAATTAAACTAAAGAGCTTCTGCACAGCAAAAGAAACTATCATCAGAGTGAACAGGCAACCTACAGAATGGGAGAAAATTTTTGCAATCTACTCATCTGACAAAGGGCTAATATCCAGAATCTACAATGAACTCAAACAAATTTACAAGAAAAAAACAAACAACCCCATCAAAAAGTGGGCGAAGGACATGAACAGACACTTCTCAAAAGAAGACATTTATGCAGCCAAAAGACACATGAAAAAGTGCTCATCATCACTGGCCATCAGAGAAATGCAAATCAAAACTGCAGTGAGATACCATCTCACACCAGTTAGAATGGCGATCATTAAAAAGTCAAGAAACAACAGGTGCTGGAGAGGATGTGGAGAAATAGGAACACTTTTACACTGTTGGTGGGACTGTAAACTGGTTTAACCATTGTGGAAGACAGTGTGGCGATCTCTAGGATCTAGAACTAGAAATACAATTTGACCCAGCTATCCCATTACTGGGTATATACCCAAAGGATTATAAATCATGCTGCTATAAAGACACATGCACATGTATGTTTATTGTGGCACTATTCACAATAGCAAAGACTTGGAACCAACCCAAATGTCCAACAATGATAGACTGGATTAAGAAAATATGGCACATATACACCATGGAATACTATGCAGCCATTAAAAAGGATGAGTTCATGTCCTTTGTAGGGACATGGATGAAGCTGGAAACCATCATTCTCAGCAAACTATCGCAGGGACAAAAAACCAAACACCGCACGTTCTCACTCGTAGGTGGGAATTGAACAATGAGAACACTTGGACACAGGAAGGGAAACATCACACACTGGGGCCTGTCGTGGGGTAGGGGGAGTGGGGAGGGATAGCATTAGGAGATATACCTAATGTAGATGACAAGTTGATGGGTGCAGCATACCAACATGGCACATGTATACATATGTAACAAACCTGCATGTTGTGCACATGCACTCTAGAACTTAAAGTATAATTAAAAAAAAGGTGTATATAATTACCATTCTTGCTACAATAATGTAAATAATCAAGCCAAATCTATTACTTGACTTATTTTGTGATTCAGGATAATTTACCACTTTTTTAAATGTGGTATCATCAAAAAATAAAACCTAACTGCCTGTGTCCTTATTGGGACCCTAGGCTGTCTTTTAGCTGACCTTTTCACCAGGACCTGAAGAAACCCTTTGAGCTGAAGCCATATGACTTGATATAAACTTCAAATGACTCATCTCAACAGTTGATCAAGTATGGGCAACTTGTATGTGAAACTGCTCTGTGTGGGCCACTCAGGGAGTTCACCAGAATTCCCACATCTTCCCTCATCTACTCCAGAAAATAAATATGACTGGACAATCTTACCAAAGCCTCTCTGATGTCTATGCCATCACTAAAAACATTCAAATTGGGAAATCCTTCAGATTGCTCCTGATGTCCTCATTCTACCTTCTAAGAAGCCTAAAGCCCAGTGTATAGAAATCTTGACTGGCTGCCCTCTAGACTCAAAAATTGGTCTACTCCAATCATTAATTTTTGTTTTCCTTTTGATTTCCATAGAAATTCCCCTCACTAAATGCCTGATTGCTCATAGCAAATATCTCCTACTGCGAAGTCTCAGCAGATGGTTCAACTAGTCTTTTAATAACAGAAATCTGATGAAATAAACTACATAAAACAACTTTCCTAAGTTGTTCAATGGGATACCTGGTTTTCTTTAAACAAAATGGACAACCGATCAAGATGACCTTAATGTTCTCAGTTTGACTGAACTTTAGACAGGTTTCTTCCTGTCTAGGCACCTAACCTCCTTCTAAGAGCACTTATTTGCTTTAGAAAAGTTGTAATTGTAGATTATTTTCTGTGCCCTTTTTAAGATGTAAATATTTTTAAAAGCCTCTTCCAAGTTTTACAACTAGGAATGTCTTTCTCAAAGACCAGAAAGCCATTGCTTTCAAAAGTAATCATCAAGGAAGATAGCACTCCATCTCCTAGGTTCTCTAGGAGGACAGTAGCTTAACTTTGTCAGGTGCCTTCTTTCAAGTTGTAAAATTACCCCTTGTCATGAAGATACTAGACACAGTTTTTTTTCTTCTTCTTTTGGGTAAAGCCAGTTAACAAAATCAACTGGCCTAAGATCAACCTAGCCGAACTCTTTGTTTCAGGAGAGTTGAGCTCAGCCATAGTTCTAGTCTCTCTACTCTATTGTAATAGCCTTGAATAAAGTCTTTTTTTGCCTGTTAAAGTAGCCAGCGCAGTTTTTTCTTTGACACTGGCTACCCTTATCTATTGAAAAGAACCTAATAGTTAGGGCAGACCAAATGGATTAGGCCAATTCATAGCAATCTGAACACTCTTGGACAAGTTATCTTCTCCAATGCTCAATATACTCACCCTTTCAATCATGAATATTACCATTTGATTTTTGTGAAGACTAAAAGCACTAGTGTTTATTAAAAACCTATCACACTGCCCAAAGAACCGGACCATCTTAATAACTGTTAATACCTCTTCTTCCTAATTCATCTCCTTGGCCAGTGACTTAATTCACAACAAGGTGATTTACCTGTTTATATGTTACATGTAATAGATATCAGATACTCCTTTTAAGAAGCCTCACATGATCTTCCAGTATTCTTTTTCATTCTTTTAATGAATGAATTCAGGTATAAACTATCTGGAGAGATCATGCCTCCTATTGTTCAAGCCAGGCCCACTTGTAGCCACCATTTTAGCAGCCAATAGATAGACAACAATCCACACCTGCTGAAGACACCTATAGCCTAGAAATATGGAGAGTGAGCAGAAGGAGCAGAAGTGCTGAAAGTGAAAAGCAGACACACACATTTTCACAACTCTTCCCAAGATTAGACACTCCCCTAATCTCAATTTGGCTTCAGGTATCCGTGACTGTCATCTCTATTCAAAGCAGCAGCCAGAGCCATTCTCCCCAAATGTTCTCTCTGAACTCATTCTCTCACAAGCCATGTATTCTTTTGTACTAATAGCCTACAACTCTACTTTATAAAAGATTTTCAATACATGGAGTCTTTTGTGGGAAGTATCATTTTCTAAGATTAACTCCCTCCCTTTATTAATACTTGTTCTCTCATATTGGGAAATGTGAACAGTAAGTGCCCTTTCATGGGCTTCTTTCATCTGTTAAGTATCAAGGGGCCAGCACTTGAATCAATACATGCACTCTTTTAGAATTAAATTGCTCTCTGTTAGAGAGCCAGAGGAAATGTCTTCAAACATGAAATACTTTGTGTTTATCTCTTTCCTTTGTTCAGTTGTTTTGGAACACATACACCCTTTTGCCTAATTTAAATATCACATGTGAATGTAATTATCCTCCGCCAGCATTATATAAGGAGGTGGGGGGAAAAAAGAGTATTTCCTGTTTCTAAAAATAATATTGTTTCTGAAAGCTTTTTAAAAAATAAATTGAACCATATTAAGTGTGTAGAAGTCACAGATTAAATAACACCTATGCCAACTGATTGTATTAAGGAAATAATTTGCCTCCTCAAAACTCAGATCATTGTCTACCTGGAGAAAGAGGGGTACTTTTAGTAGGAGGTGGGATATAAAATTACTTATGCTCCTCCACCCCAACAAGTTTGGTGTTTGATTTTCCCCACCCATGGAGAATCCAAGAGAATGCAGCTCTCATTGACTGAAGCATTTTGTAGTGTTTGGGTGGAAGGAAAAAAAAAAAAAGATTGTTAGCGCTGTACAACATTGGGCATTGCCATAGGGGAGATAACTCTCCTAATTTTCTAGACTGTCCCAATATTTGCACTGAGTTCTACTACCTGGAAACTCCTCCGTCCCGAGCAGACCAAGATAATGGGTCATCCTAGCATTTCACCTACCTCCTTTGTCATTCTTGATTTTCCATCTTTGTGGTAAATTATGGTGATTTAAATGTTGATCCAATAGTTTACCCAATAGTTTTGCTATATTATAAGCAACCTTCTAAGGTTAATTATAAGTGGCAGGTTAATCATAGGCAAACAGCTTAATGAGTTTTATCAGAGTCTACCCAGACAACAGTAACCATACCAGTCATTTTAACAGGGTGAACTTAATATAAAGAACTGTTAACCAGTGAGGAATTGAATATACAGACAATGGCAAGACCATATTCAAAAATAGAACTCTGATCAACAACCTCTGCAGTAAATGGCCAAAAATGGTCAGGGCTTGGTCAATGATGACCAGTTTCCCTATTTTTTCCTCTGCTTTCAACTCAGGACCAACCAGAAAAAGGCAACTATGTTCTCCAAACCAATCACATAAGATGCCCTCTTCTAGTTAGTCCACCTCCAGCTTTCTTATGCTAACAACCTGCAATCAGGACATATCTGGAGCCTCTCCCTTTTTTTACTGCAAAACTTTCCCACTCACATGCCTGCTGACAGCCTCTACCAAATGCAAGTAATGGTGGGTGACTCAATCCAATTAACAAGCTCTGAATGGATAGCAACTATTTTTTTTCATTTGGGTGGTTTTTGTTTATATCCACACCAAGCACAAAGGGAGCACTGAAGTTTTCACAGAAGATGTAACTGCAGGAAGCAGCTACCACTCCTAGAGCATGGGGAACAAAGGGAAGAGATTAAACTTATTAAAACGTATTAGTTGGTGCCACAATTTCTTTTGTACCAACCTAAATAGAAGCTTGGAGAGAGGGCATTTCTCGTAGATCTGTAATGATAACGTGCCATGCCATAGGTTCAAACACATGCTCACACACACTCACATTATAAAATTTGTGATACATCATCATAATGGAACTGACGTTCCTTACTAAGGGACATCACAGTTCCTACTGCATTTCAAGCCATGCAATATCTACAGCATATATTAGCAGTTCAAAGTATGGTTCAAGGACCCCTGCGATCCTCAAGACTGTTAGAGACTCTGCAAAGTCAAAATTAATTCCATAGCGATGCTAAGAAGTTATATGTCTTTTTCATTATATTGACATTTATACTCGTGATGTAAGATCAATCCCTGGTAAATTTGCTGGCACACAGCACAAATCAAGGCAGTGGCACCAAGTGAAAATGGACCAGTAATAATTGTATCATTCACAGCAATGTACTTGCAGGGAAAAAAAGTTTCAATTAAGCATGTCCTTCATGAGGCAGTAAAAAATAATTTTAACAAATTTTACTCCTTGAGTGTGCCTTTTTAGTACTGTATATGATGAAATGGGAAGTACACATAAAATTCATCTGCTACATATGGAAGCATGATGGTTATCTTGAGAAAAAGTACTAGTGTGATTGAATTTCAAGCTGCACTTGACACATTTTTCATGAAACACTGCTTTTTTATATTTGGAGTTTTTACTTGTACAAATTTGTGGGATACATGAGAAATTGTGTTACATGTTTATAATGCATAGTGATTGAGTCATGGTATTTAGAGTGTCCCTCACCCAAATATAATACATTTAAGTATAGTTATATAGTTATCCTACTCTGTTATCAAACATTGAATTTATTCCTTCTATCTTACTATACATTTGTTTACTTTAACCCACTTCTCTTCATCATCCCCACTCTCCACCCCCGCACTTACCCATCCCAGTCTCTGTTATCTATCTTTCCACTCTCTAACTCTATGTGTTCAAATTTTTTCACTCCCACATATAGGTGAGAACATGCAATGTTTATCCTTTTGTGCCTGGCTTAGTTCACTCTAGATAAAGACCTCTAATTCCATCCATGCAAATGACATGATCTTATTTCTTTTCATGACTGAATAGTATTCCATTGTGTATACATATCACATTTTCTTTATCCATTCATCTGTTGATGAACACTTAGGTTGATTCCGTATCTTAGATATTGTTAATAGTCCTGCAATAAACATTTCAGTTCAGGTATCCCTTTGATATGTTGATTTATTTTCCTATGGGTAGATACTTAGTAATGGGATTACTGGGTTTAATTGTAATTCTATTTTTAGTTTTTTGAGAACTCTCCAAAGTGTTTTTCATAGTGTTGTTCACAAGTTTACATTACCATGAAGAGCATATAAGAGTTACCTTTTCTCCACATGCTCACTAACACTGGTGTGTGTGTGTTTTTGTCTTTTTAATAATAACCATTCTGGCTGGTGTAAGACAAAATATCATTGTGGTTTTAATTTGTATTTCTCTGATGATTAGTGATGTTGACCATTTCTTCATGTACCTATTAGCCATTTGTATGTCATCTTTGGAGAAAGGTCAATTTATATCCTTTACTTACTTTTTAATGGGATTATTTAATTTTCTTTCCTTTTGAGTTGAGTTCCTAGTATATTTTGAATACTAGTCCCCTGTCAGTTAACTGATTTGCAAGTACCTTCTCTCATTCAACAGGTTTTCTCTTTGCTGTATTGATTGTTACCTTTGCAGTGTATAAACTTTTTAGTTTAAAATAGTCCCGTTTGTCTATTTTTGTTTTTGCTGCCTGTGCTTTTGAGATTTTAGTCATAAATTCTTTGCATAGGCCAATCTCCAGGAGAGTTTTCTCTAGGTTTTCTTTGAGTGCTTCTATGGTTTCAGGTCTTAGATTTAAGTCTTTAATCCATTTTGAGTTGATTTTTGCACATAGTGAGCAATAGGGATCCAGTTTCATTTTCTGCACATGGCTATCCAATTTTCCTATCACTATTTAATGAAGAGGGCATCCTTTCCCCAGTGTAAGTTGTTGTCAGCTTTGCTGAAGATCAACTGGTGGCAAATATGTGGTTTTATTTCTGGGTTCTCTATTCTGTTCCATTGGTCTATTTGTCTGTTTTTATATCACTACCATACGGTTTACGTTACTAGAGCCTTGTAATATATTAAGTCTGGTAGCATCATGCCTCCAGCTTTGCTCTTTTTACTCAGGATTGTGAAGAATGACATTGGTATTTTCATAAGGATTGCATGGAATCTGTAGATTGCTTTGGGCAACATGGTTATTTGAATGATATGAATTCTTCCCATCCATGAGCATGAGAAGTGTTCCATCTCATGTTTGTATCGCCTTCCATTTTTTTCATCAGTGTTTTGTAGTTTTCCTTATACAGATATTTCACTCCCTTGGCTAAGTTTATTCCTAGGTTGGTTGGTTTGTTTTTCTAAAGCTATTGTAAACAGGACTGGCTTCTTGATTTATTACTCAGTTAGACCACTATTGGTGTATGAAAATGCTACTGGTTTTTGTATGTTCACTTTGTAACCTACATCTTCCCTGAATTAATATATCAAATTTTAAAGTTTTATGATGGAGTCTTTAGGTTTTCCTAGGTATAAGATCTTATTATTAGCAATGAAGGACATTTTGACTTCCTCTTTTTCAATTTGGATGTCTTTCCTTTCTCTAGCTCTTGCTTGATTACTCTGGCTAGGACTTCCAATACTATGTTGAATAAGAGTAGAGAAAGTAGGCATCCTTGTCTTGTTGCAGTTCTTAGATAAAAGGCTTTCAATTTTTTTCTCATTTAGTATGATGTTAGCTGTAGGTTTGTCATATATGGCCTTTATTATTTTGAGGGATATTTTTATAGGCCTAGTTTGGCGTGATTTTTATCATGAAGGGATGTTGAATTTTATTAAATTTTTTTCTGCATCTATTTAGATGATCGTATGGTTGGTGTCCTTAATTCTGTAGATGCAATGCCTCACATTTATTGATATGCATATATTGAACAATCCTCGCATCCCTTGAATAAACCCCACCTGAGCATGGTGTATTATCCTTTTGATGTGCTGTTGGATTCAGTTTGCTAACATTTAATTGAGGATTTTTGCATCTATGTACATCAGGAGTATTGGCCTGTAGTTTTCTTCAATGTGTCCTTATCTTGTTTTAGTATGAGGATTATTCTGGCCTCATATAACGAGTTAGAAAGAATTCCCTTCTCTTCAGTTTTCTAGGCTAGTTTCAAGAAGATTGGTACCAGTTCTTCTTTGTACATTTGGTGGAATTTAGCTGTGATTCCATCCAGTCCTGAGCTTTCCTCTGTTGGGACACTTTGTATTGCTGATTCAATTTTGCACCTCACTATTAGTCTGTTCAGGTTTTATATTTCCTCCTGATTAAATCTTCGTAGGTTATATGTTTTCAGGAATTTATTTCCTCTAGGTTTTCCAGTTTGTCAGTGTATAGTTGTTCATAATATTATCCGATGATCTTCTGTATTTCTGTGGTATCAGTTGAATGTTTCCATTTTCATTTCTGATTTTGTTTATTTGGATCTTCTCTCTTCTTGCATAGCCTATCTAGTGGTTTATCAGTTTTGTTTATCTTTTCAAATAACAAATTTTTCCTTTTGTTGATCCTTTCTATTTTTTAAGTCTCTATTATATTTTATTCTCCTATAATTTTTTTTTTTTTTTTGAGATGGAGTCTCGCTCTGTCACCAGGCTGGAGTGCAGTGGCGCAGTCTCAGCTCACTGCAACCTCCACCTCCCGTGTTCAAGTGATTCTCCTGCCTCAGACTCCCGAGTAGCTGGGACTCCAGGAGCACACCACCATGCCTGGCTAATTTTTTTTTTCTTGTATTTTAGTAGAGATGGGGTTTCACCATGTTGGCCAGGATGGTCTCAATCTCCTGAGCTTGTGATCCGCCCGCCTCGGCCTCGCAAAGTGCTGGGATTACAGGTGTAAGCCACTGCACCCAGCCCTGCTATAATCTATATATTTTCCTCTGCTAATTTGCAGTTTGGTTTGTTCTTGCTTTTCTAGTTTATTGAGATGCATTGTTGGATTGTTAATTTGTAATTTTTCTCCTTCTTGGATGTAGATATTTATTGATGTAAACTCCCTTCTTAATGCTATTTTTTCTGTTTCACACAGGTTTTGGTATGTTGTGTTTCTATTTTCATTTGCTTCAATAATTTTTTTAATTTTCATCTTAATTTATTTGTTGATTCAATTGTCATTCAGGAGCATGTTGTTTAATTTCCATGCATTTATATAGTTTCCAAAGTTTCTCTTGGTATTGATTTCTAGTTTTATTCCATTGTGGTCTGAGAAGATACTTGGTACAATTTCCATTTTTAAAAATTTGTTGAGACTTGTTTTGTGGCCTAACATTTGGTCTATCCTGGAGAATGTTTCATGTGCTGATGAAAAAAAAAAAAAGATGCACGCTCTGCCGTTGTTGAATAGAATGTTCTGCAGTTGTCTGTTAGGTCCGTTTGGTCTAAAGACAAGTTTAAATCCAGAGTTTCTTTGTTGATTATCTGTCTAGATGCTCTGTCTAATGCTGACAGTACAGTATTGAAGTACCCTACTATTATTGTCTTGTAGTCTATCTCTCTCTTTAGATCTAGTAATATTTAGCCGTTTTCAGTAAATGTCTAGAGAGAGAAGAAAGGATGTCAGGGGTTTGCATTCATTGAGTGCCTGGGGTCTGGGTGGTGCTGCATGCATTAAATCTCATTTAATCTTCACAACAGTGTCATTGAGGTGAGAAGTCTCCTCATGTTTAAAGCAGGACTAATAACAAGGCTTTAAAAGGCACTGTGAAGTGCTCTAGGGAGGAAGATAAGAGCATGCAAAGCAGGCCCTTTCATCAGAAGTCTGGGTCCTATGTGGAGGCCAAATCCTGAGACTGGGAGGTAAAGGAGACAGACCAGCAGCTCAGTCATCAAAACTGGAAAAATTAAGGTCTGATGACCCATGTGGGCACTTCCGTATTAAGTCACAAAGACTTGGTTGATCTCCTAAAGTCTGTGGCTAGATGTTTCCAGTTGTGGGAACTGTCACAGACAGTTTTTGTCTGGATACAGTATTTGTCTGGATACAGACAAATATCCAGGCAAGACCAGAAAATGAGAGACACTATTTAAGAATAAAGATATTACCTTTAAAAATGATTAACATTCTCTATGCTCACCTCCCTACTCTCATGTGATATGAATGTTTAATGTATTAAATTTGCATAATTCATAATTCTAGAGTTCTATATTTTTCTGACAGCTAACTAAAAATTGTAAGGAAGACTAAAAATCTACTACATTCGAGTGTGTGTTGTCACACACATAAGATTTTCACATCATTGAAAAGTCATATAATGTTTTCCTAATTATATGTTTATAAGTTACAGCATTTATGTGTTAATAAGTTATAACATTTTTGCATTAAAGATCACTTGCACTTCTTTTCATGGGAGTGCAGTAAGCACAGGAATGGATGGATGCCTTTCCGTGAATGGGAACCTACAGGAGCATTTTTTTTTCTCTATTCCTGGGCTGGAGGATGGATTGTTCCTGATTTCAAGATAAACTTGCAGTCCTGCTCAAAGAAAGTATCTTTTTCAAGGCTGTTCCTTAGGCCATTACCACCTACCATGTGGAAGGAAGCTGGATGTTCCAGCAGGTCATGGCTAGCCTTGTGACTTTTGACAAAGTCTGTAGTTCAGTCACTTGAGACCACAGCTCCACAGGATATGATTCTTATTAGAGGACAAACCAGAAAATATGTTGAACTGGAGGTGCTGGGATCCACTGCTGTGTCATTTGCACACTGTAAGAGCCATAGAAAATGTTTTATGTGAGATGATTTATAAAATATTAAATGGAAATGTGATTAACTTACACACAGGGAGAGATGAGCTAATTAAGGCAGGAATGATAGAGCTTACATTGGATGATAGAATTAAAACTGCACTTCATCTGCAACTTTCCTAACTTATTCTCTGGTGCTGTTTCTGCCATAGATGCTTCTACAGATCTGTTTTATGCTGTGTCTCCTACCCTTTAAGATTTAATGCAAGTGCTGTCTCTCTCTTTCATTGCAATAATCATGAGTCTTTCTTTCTTCTTCAGACTGAGGCTGCCAAGTTTTTTATGGTGTCACTTGCATGTTGCTGGTGTAATGGGCCCTATGTTCACATCTGATCTCCTTTGTTGAAGGGAACAAAGCTCTTCTCCCTTGGGTCCAGTTCTCATATGGAGGGACTTCTGTTAGCAGAGTACTTTTAGAAGAGTGACTTAGATGATTGATGAGCTTGGGACAAAACCTCAGTGGGCCAGACTAACTTCAGGAAGCACATGTTGTGGTCTGTTCTTCCAAGCCTTCTGTTTTGTAGAAACTGGTCATTTCACTCTTTAAGAGTTCTCTGTGCTCTTCTAGGTTGCCTGTGATTGGATAACCCTAATTTGGGTGTGCAACATTAAAAGTACCACTGTTGTCATGCAACTTAGTCACATTCTCCAAAAGCCCTATTAGTAAGAAGTTGGCACTTGATCTCATTCTTCCTATTCCTCAATCTCTAGTGGAATGAAGAAAGGGGCTATTAGATATGATCCTTCTAATGTTCTAGTTCAAGGACCATGAGAGATAAACAAAGAGTGAAACTTTGGCACTAAAAATAATACCTGGAGATTAAGGCAGCTGCTGTGGCCCAAGAGAAGCATGTTTCTTTACCTTTGGTTTTAGAAGCTTATATTTTACCACATAACTTGGGCCAGGCACAGTGGCTTATGCCTGTAATCCTAGCACTGTGGGAGGCCAAGGTGGGAGGATCACTTGAAGTCAGGAGTTCGAGACCAGCCTGGCCAACATGGTGAAACCCTGTCTCTACAAAAAATACAAAAATTAGCCAGGCATAGTGGCGTGCACCTGTAATCCCAGCTACTTGGGAGGCTGAAGCTCAAGAATTAGTTGTACCTGGGAGGCGGAGGTTGCAGTGAGCCAAGATAGCAACAATGCACTCCAGCCTGAGCAACAGAGCAAGAGTCTGACCAAAAAAATTAATAAAAATAAATAAATAATGATCTGTAGGCACCCAGCCATAGCAATATATCCAGAGATCTGCCATGCAAGCCTCAGACAGAAGCTGCTACAGGCTGACCTTGAACTCCACAAATATGATTGGACCTCATGTTGAATGCAATACTGTGGTGGATGAACCCTCCTCAAGTGCCAGTGGATGGGCAACATTCTTTTATTTTACTGTTTCACAGGCAGATCTGTTGTGCAGCTGAGTTCTATAGGGCATTAATGAGGTTCTAGATTTAATGTTAGTGCCATATCTAGGAAGAGAGTTAGGGATTGGTCCCTAATCCTGAATTCTATTTTTTAGTCAGTTATCAGAAGAAAAACATGAAGCAACTAACCTTAAATTCATCAAACTTTCTCATAGGCCCAAGAGTCACCCTGACATTTGGTCAGAAGGTGGCTTTAATGTAAGATCCAGCTTAGGCTTCACCCGGAGAAGAGCTGTAGATTTTGTTAATAGTCAAGTAAAAAGACAGAGGATCCTTACTATAAAGAAAATATGTCAACTTATTTAGTCTTCCTATTATAATGAGAACAACTGAAGAATTAAAATCAAAGAGCAACACACTGGTTAAGGAGAAGCAAGAGAGAGTCTTAAGGGGATGCTTGCGATGTTAGCAAACAGACTAGACAGGGAAGATATCAGAACTTCAAGGTCAGAATAGATGAACATAAAATTTTAAAGGGCCATAGTGCTCTTTTAAAAAGTATAGAAAAGGGGAATGTATTTTAGTTCAGTGATTCTCAAACATTGGTGATACTATAATTACTGGGAAACTACACCCCAGAACAAATAAACCAGAATCTCTGGGAGTGCGATCTGGCCTTAGTGTTTTTAAAGCTTCCCAGGTGGTGACAACATGCAAACATGTTTTGGAAGCAATGCTTAAGCAGAGGACTATTTAAATGTTTTAATTTTGACTATATCAGAACGAGTGCCTAGCCCTGAACAAAATCCAGCAAGGAAGAAAGGAAAGATGTTGAAGAGCAGATTGGAATGACTCCTGCAGAGGGGGACAGTATGCAAGAAACTACCAAGACACACTCCTTTAAAGCCACAGAAGAGGAATCCACATGATTAGCAGTGAAAAATACTCAGATCTTCCTGAGTGAATTGTCATGAAAGATTATGATTAAAGGTGGAGTGACAGAATTGGGACCATGCCCAAAAAGTTCATGGAATTAGGATAATACTAAAGACAAAGCATATTAAATGGAAGCCATGAAGGACAATCATGGCCTCAAGTCCTGGGTTAGATGTTGGTCTGAGGGAGAGCACCACCTGGTGAGAATTCACAAACCAGAAAAAGTTGGCAAAAAAGATGTTAGCAATAAAATTATTTTGGCAGACCCAAAACTCATTGATTGCCTATCTTTTACTTGGGAGACCATGCGAGATAAAATCTAGAAGATTATGTTAGAAAACTGTCTCTTAATAACACATTCTTCCATGGAACGAGAAGGAATTAACCTGGTTGGTAAAATTAGACTAATTATCTGGATATACATAGCTTCCTGGGAATTGACTCCTCTTGGGAATTGACTCTTCAGGAAGCACAGTCTGATATCTGCTCTTCTATGTATGTGGCAAGCAGGGGAGATTGTGACTTGGAGGTTACATCTATCTAACCTTGAGTGCATTATTAGAAATTCTGTTGTTGCCTCATATCTAAGCTGCATTTGTCAACATCTCTATCATACCAAAGCTGATATTTTGATCTTGCCTTCCTGTTAACTTTGTCTTTCTCAATTGGTTAAGAACTTGGTTAAGGAAAAGGTTTATTTTCCTCAAATAAAAGATCAAAAGTATTGATCTTCAATGTTCTCTAAACTTTGCCAGATTGCAATTTCCTGAATGGTGGAAACCTTCATGCTTGTATTGACAACAGTGCCTAGCACGTATAGTGCTTCCATAATTTCTGTGAAATGAAGACTGATGTTGGTCTTGCCCTACCTTTTCACCCTGACTTAAGGATGAGAGTCTTTGTGCATTAGTAGTTGACTCTCACTTGTCCTACCTCTGACTAAGGGTGGAGCATTCTGAGGAAAGCAAGAAGGAGCTCTGCACTCCCCCCTCTAGCTGCAACTGGTTTCTTCTTAAGATCCAGCAGCAGTTGGTGGCAGCCTATGTGCAGAAGGTATCACATCTCCTGAAATGTCAAGCTCAGATGAGTCCAGAGAAAGAAGCATGAAGCAGCTATCAGGCCTTGGAGCTGGACCTGACTTCCAGCCCAGTTCAGCAGCAATGAGACCTGGGGAATTAGGGACAGAATGTGTGGCAAAAATTCTAGCTAAATATAAAATGTTTACATCCAACACGTATCTTCTGGACAATTTCTCCTCAGTCAGATAGTAAATTTAATATATTTGATATCCCAAGATGAGACATCCTTCCACATCCCCTCCTTAGAGCTGGTTTCTATTAATATCTTAGCATTTTTATATCCAAGCTGCAGTTCCTCCACCCACCATTCATATTGATGCATGCAAAGTTAAGGCCATAGATCCTCTTTCTAGTATTTCAATGACTTAAAGTTTTTGCAGCAAAGATATGGGGATTGTAGGAATGAAGAATGCATGGATAGTATCTCAGGACCTTCCTTAACCTCATTTTAAAAAGGATAGGTGTTGTAAGAGTAGCATAAGAAAGAAGGAGATTTTATATGTAAATTTCTTGAAATCCAATGAGTAATTAAATTCTGCCTGTTCAAGATAGTCCTGTAAATCATTTTTCCAGGCATTGGACAAGAACATTAAAGGGCCTTCAGTATTTCTCTTCTGGCTCCCCTAAGCCTAAGTCCAGAGAAGGGGTCATTCTTTACAATTTTATTCTGCTTAGAATACCTGCACTATGCAGCACCCATTCCTGAATGAAATGGAAACATTATCCCATGGACATATATTCAGATTATCTCTTTTTGTTATATACACTCTTTTATTCCTCATTCTAAACCCCAAGCACTTTTCCTTCTTTCACATGCACTGAAACAACCTGTATTTCAAAAGATGATTAAAAAAAAACCTAATTCTATTACTCGTATATGCAAATAGAGTTGACTGTGGCTTTTTAGAATTCCCTTTAACTCGTGTTTCACTTACTAAAGGCTTGTTACTCTGCTTTAGCCTGGGCTCGGCATCATCGGCCTAGAACTGCCAATTCCTTTAGTATTCAACACACAAATTACTTCCATTTAATGACAAGTTTTATTCCTGAATTTTAATGAGGCCTATTCTAACTTTTAATTGCTTTGAAAAATGAGATTTTTTTTTAAGGAATCTACACATATTTGGCACAACCATAAATATTTTAAAAAGAAACATCTCATGCTGGAGAACCATGAAAGACTCATCAATGAAAATAAATAGGAAAGAGCAGTTGCAGGATTAAATTTGCATTATCTCACATCAGATTGGGGCAATTAATATGTTAAACCTTAGTTCACATCAAAGGCAAAGGATGTGTTAAATGTGTCTCTTAAATTATTAATTGACTAAAATGATTTAATTACAAATTCTCTATTTTCTCTTACTATAGAAACATACTTCCTGTGTGTCACACTATTCTTCTTTTGTCATTGAATTTTGAAGTTTTTCCCCCATTGATATGGAATAATGATAAATCCTTAAAATAGATGCATTCCATTCTTGTCAGAATCCATAAAGTTCTATGCAGTTGATCTGGTTTTCACTAGTTTTCATATACCACTTTGAACCATAAAACAAAAAGTTAAGGGAAAGCAACTTCTTTACTATATGAGAACTAAAAGAGTTACTTCAAATGAGTACTCTGCCTCTGAGATGTTACCATTTCTCTTTTTATTTCACTTGTACATCTGTTTACATTGAAAAAGGTTTCTAAATAAGTCTAACAAAAGTGGGAGATGGTGGTGATAGGACAAGTACTGACAGAGAAAGATTACATTCAAAGGATAATCTCTTCTTCCCATATCTTTAGGTTGCCTCGATTAGCTTGGAATTTTTATTTCTGTATATGGCCACCACACTCTACTTCAAAGAATGTTGCTCTCATTGAAAAGAGAGTCACTTCCATATTGAGGGAAGCAAAGAGAATATTAGATTTGGTAAACCCCATGTTCAGCTGAAATTTGTTCAGTTTTTCATCTCTTTTATTTTTCTCCCTATTTTTAATTTTGAAAAAATGTAAACATATCAAAAAGTACAGAAAGTACCATAACAAACACCTATACCTATATTCTAGGAGTATAAACACTGTATTGTTTTTGCTTTTGTTTTTTAAAATAAATAAATAAAACATTGCATATGCAGTTAGAGTCCCTATTGAAAATAGGCCAAGTTTGATTTTTCTTCATTCTCTTTCCAAAAGCAACTGTTAACCCGATGTTTGAATGTATTTTTTCACTCCATGATTTTATGTTTTAACTACTTATTATATATCCATGGGCTTACTGTATTATATTATTGGTTTATCAAAATAACATGAATGGTATCAGGCAATATGCATTATATTACAACTTGCTTTCATTCTTAATATGGTGCTTTTGAAATCTATCTATATTTGCTACTTAATAATTTTTAACTGCTCAGTAGTATTCTGTTGTATAAATACACAACATGTCCTGTTACCCAAATGATAGTAATTGAGCTTGTTTTCTATTGTTTATTTATGTTTAATTGTGACTATATTAGGACTTATTTTAGACTCCTCCCCACATTATTCCTACTAGTAGCATCTACATTTTGGTTCCATCTTGCTTTTAAACTCTCAAATGTATTATTGTTTTTGTTGTTACTTTTAAATGTAAAGTCGTTCATTTATCTCTTTATTTCTACAATTTCTGCTTGGTTCTTTTGTTGTTGTTGTTGTTGTTGAGACAGAGTCTTGCTCTGTCACCCAGGCTGGAGTGCAGTGGTGTGATCTCGGCTCACTGCAACCTCCACCTCCTGGGTCCAAGCAATTCTCCTGCCTCAGCCTCCCAAGTAGCTGGGATTACAGGTGCCCACCACCACACCCGACTGATTTCTATATTTTTAGTAGAGACAGGGTTTCACCATATTGGCCAGGCTGCTCTTGAACACCTGACCTAGTGATCTGCCCTTTTGGCCTACCAAAGCACTGGGATTATAGGCATGAGCCACCACACCCGGCCTCTGCTTGGTTCTTTTCATGTAAACTTTCCCTTTTTGCAACCTTACAGTTTCTATTCTTTTTCATCTCATTATTCTTTAAACATAGTTTTGTTAAAGTCTTTTACAGATTGCTCATTGTTGGAAATTCCTAGGCTGTTTAAACATCCACTTGTTACCTCTGTGGACTTTCTCAGGGTGGTTGTTTCCTCAAGAAATTGATAATTTTTGACAAAAAGTTCATCTTTAGTGGGAAATTTTTCTCCTCCATGGGAGATACTCTTTGAAGCAGTTCAATATCTACCTTGCCTAAATCTTCAGCATTCTTCCACAGTCCCACCATCCATCAGGGTTTAGCCTGGGCTTGTTGCTCTGGCTTGAGTTCCTCTCAGTGTCTGGAAACAGGATTTCTCTTTCTTCCTTGTGAGGTTGACTTTACATTAATGTTTCCTGTTGTGTATTTCATCCAGCATTTCTGACTTTGGAAGAATAATACAGATGTCTCCCCACTTTTACTTTCTAGTGAGTACTCCCAAGTCTTTCCTCAGAGCCCTCAGAGCCCTGCAACTGACACTTGTGCCCACAGAACATTCCTGATATGGTTTGGCTCTATGTCCCCACCCAAATCTCATCTTGAATTGTAATCTCCACATGTCAAGGGGGACACGGTGGGAGGCAATTGGATTATGGAGGTAGTTTCCCCCATGCTGTTCTCAAGATAGTGAGTTCTCATGAGATCTGATCGTTTAAAAGTGTGCCACTTCCCCTTCAGTCACGCTCTCCCTCTCCCTCCTGCTGCCATGTAAGACGTGCCTTGCTTCCCCTTCACCCTGTGCCATAATTGTAAGTTTCCTGAGGCTTCCCCAGCCATGCAGAACTGTGAGTCAATTAAAGTTTTTAGTTCATAAATTACCCAGTCTCAGGTAGGATCTTTACAGCACAGTGAAAACGAACAAATACAATTCATTGATTATAGAATAAAAGAAAGAGACTTTATGTTGTAACGAATGCAATTTGTAGTACTTAATCTCTGAATATCATTTTCCTTTAGGCAATTTGTCTTCTGAAATCTAAAACT
The DNA here is from genome assembly GCF_000001405.40 of Homo sapiens. Classification (NCBI taxonomy): domain Eukaryota; kingdom Metazoa; phylum Chordata; class Mammalia; order Primates; family Hominidae; genus Homo; species Homo sapiens. Next base: position 32,207,987 of record NC_000009.12, read on the forward strand.
CTTTTCCATATTTCATTCTTATAAGACACATTGAGAGGTAAAACTAAAGCTTCTGGAAAATGTGTATGATTTTATTCATAAATTTAACATACATGAATATTTTATTTGAAAGCAATGATAGAAGTATTAATTTCTAATCTTATTTCATCTATATATTTTATTTCATTATTTTCCTAGAATTGTATTCTTTCATGCAACCCCAAATAATCTTTATAAATATCTTTTGTAAATACAAACCTTGTGAAAATTTTTCAAGGAAAGAGTTGAAGTGAAACATTGGACAGAGAAATTATCCTTGATACTTTCTACTTGAGAGTTATAAGGGACAGACATATACTGCAGAATAGGAGCATAAAAGGAAAAAGCAAAACCTTACTAACCAAGGTAGGTATTATTTCTTGATAACTCCTTTAAAATCAAGGGAGAGGAAAAATATACTCTGTGTTTGTGGTTTGTTCCCTAAGCTTAAATAACACGCAAAAATTATTTGACTACATTTTAAGAATTGGTAATATTAGCAATTTGCCAGTATTGACTTGATATTCCAAAAGCTCCGGATTAGAAAAGTTAAATCTATTTTAAATTAAAATAACCTATAAGGTTTCAGGATAAATTGCCATCTATTTTACTTTTTTTTTTTTTGAAGCTGCAGAAAAATTACAGTCCTTTGGATCCTCCTGGAAAAATTAATGGCACATAATTAACAGCACTCATCTAAAGATACTAACATGTATTAAAGCCCTGTCATTTGACAGACATTTTCACACACTGCTATTTAATTCTATTTGATTTTTTGCTTAGTCCACTAAGGTAATAGTACCATTGCTGTTGTACATATAAAGACATTGAAGCTCAGGAGAATAAGGCAATTTTTACAAGGTGATAACTAATAGATGAAAGAGGAGGCATTAAAGATGTCTCTACCCAACTCCAAAGAGTCTTTATGATCAAGATGTTGTTCTCACCAACTATGGGTCAGATTCTCTTTTTTATTTTGAAATAATTTCAGATTATAAGATCATTATTAATTACATTAAGATCATAAGAAAATGCAAAGCCAGTACAGAGAGATCCTTTACCCAGTTCCCCCAAATATTATATCTTCCATAAATATAGAACAGTAATATCAGTAAATTGACATGGCACAATGTGTATGTGTATTTCTATGCCATGTTATGTATAGATTCCTGTAGCAATTCTCTGTGTCCCCACCCAAATCTCATGTTGAATTGTAATCTCCAATGTTGGGGAAGGGAGCTGGTGGGAGGTGATTGGATCATCGGGGCAGATTTCCCCCTTGCTGTTCTCATGACAGTGAGTTCTCATGAGATCTGGTTGTTTGAAAGTGTGTAGCACTTCCCCTTTTGCTCTCTCTCCCCTCTCTGCCACGTGAAAAAGGTGCTTGCTTCTCCTTCAACCTTCCACCGTAAGTTTCCTGAGGCCTGCCAGTCATGCTTCCTGTACAGCCTGTGGAACTGTGAGTCAATTAAACCTCTTTTCTTCATAAATTACCCAGTCTCAGGTAGTTCTTTATAGCAATGTGAGAATGGACTAATACAGATTGTTTGGTAGTTTACTGTTGAGTTTGAAAGTTCTTTACATATTTAGATATGATAACTCAGAAATGTGGCTAGTAAATATTTTTCCTAATCTGTAGGTTGGCTTTTAATCCCCTTCACAAAGTTCTTCACATGGAAAAACTTTGCATGAAGTTTAACATTTTAACTTTTAATTTTTACAAAGTACTATTTATTGTTCTTTTATTTTATGAATCTTGATTTTGTAGACCAGGGTTTTACCTTATCTGGCAGGCAGAATAGGAAGAAGTGTGTCTACTCTATCCTGTTCAGAACCAGAAGTACTCATAAAATTTGTTTTTTAAACTAGAATCTGTGTTATGCTTACTTGCAAATTTTAAAACAAGCTCCCATAATACACTTGTGGGAGAGTCATTTGCAACTTTTTAGTTAGTTTTATATTTTCAGAATAAGACTTGAACATTATTTTAGGAGTAAAATAGTCCTGAATTCTTACAGGAAAAAAATAAACCAGAGCTCTCTTTTTCCTACATTCTTTTTCCACAAGTCTTACCTCTCAGAAGTAGCAATTAACCCTTTAGCTATTTCACTATTTATTGGCTTTGATATATGTAAATAATGTTTTCATCAATACTTCCTAGCTTATTAATTTTAGATATTTAATTTAATTCTTATTATGGATGATTATTTGGCTTTCACAATAACTCCCACTTTGATCCAACCATCATTTCATAATTGTATACTTTTGGTTAAATCAGTGTTCAGTATTTACATTATTATGACTTTGTAACTGTTGTTCACTGTTGTGCCAATTTATATTCTTTGATGATGTTTTCTTTCCTGTACATTTGAATTTACCTGCAATCAATAACTTTTTTTTTTAACTTACATGCTTGTTACTTATAGTCTCTCAAGCCTGTTTAATACATGGCCATAACCACTGAATAACGATTTGCATCTTATTCTGGTGGCCTCCCTCCTACAGCACTCCTTCCTACTAGTCCAATAGGGAGCATTTTGTTTCTTAGTCCTGCTTAACAGCTGTCATACAAGAACTTTGGTTTTCTGCTCTTCTGTCTTGGAACCCAATTTTCTAGATCCAATATTTTCATTTACCTTGTATTTTCTTTCTTCCTAGTTTTTGTAGGCGCACATAAGCAGTGGCTTGCTAAAATAAAGTGCATAGGATGTAACATTTTTGAGATGTTCTCTCTTAAAATATTTGTATTCCTTCCTCATGCTTGATTAATAGCTTATCAGGTTAGAAAATTGATTTCAGTTAAAATTTGGAAGGTATTCTTTACTGTCATCCAGCTTCTTTACATTGCTGATGAAAGGATCAACATCTTTCCAGTTACTCCATATTATGTACATGTACTCTTTATGTCTTGACACTTGCAGACATTTTCTTTTAATTCCTTGTATTCTGAAATGTTTGAAGGTAGCAGATATTTGATTCATGAATTGTCTCTATAACATGAAAGTGCAAGGTGAAGCAGCAAGTGATGATATAGAAGCTGCAGCAAGTTATCCAGAACATCCCATTCAGATTATTGATGAAAGTGGATCTTGTCTCTGTCTTCTTCTCCTTCATTCCCCCCTTCTTTCATTCTACCCTAATTTCACAGGGTCTCCAAATTCCCATTGTGGCTTTCGCCCCATCACTGGCCTTACCCCTAAAACCCTACAACCGGAGGCACCTCTGCCTTGGCACCCACATTTTCGCTCCTACTTTTCCTGCTCATGATAATAAAGGGGATCTCATGAAGAAGGAGAGTAGATTTGTGGTTACCAGAGGCCAGGAAGGGGAGTGAGGTGGGGGATGAAGAGAATGTGATTAATGGTACAAATATAAAGTTTGATAGAAAAAATAAGACCTGTATTGGATAGATCAGCAGGCTGACTACAGTTTAAAATAATCTATTATATATTTCAAAATAGCTAGAAGAGAATTATTCACATGCTTTTAGCAAAAAGATAAATATTTAAGATAATGGCTATTCAAATTACACTGATTTGATCTTTACAAATTATGTGAATGCATTAAATTATTACATGTATCCAAAAAATATGTACATGATCATTTATCAATAATAAATGTTTTAAAAACCAATGTATATCAAAAAAATAAGTACACCAAAAAGTTAATAGAATTTATTTCTGACAGAAATAATAATGTTAAGAATTTATTTCTGAGACTATTTGGACATACAGAAATGATAGGAATTCATGAACACCTTCTTCTTCCAACTATCACAAGTGCCTGATTCTTGGCAGTTACAGCTTTAGCCCCATTTTGTTTCTTTTTCTTTTTATTATTATACTTTAAGTTTTAGGGTACATGTGCACAACGTGCAGGTTTGTTACATATGTATACATGTGCCATGTTGGTGTGCTGCACCCATTAACTCATCATTTAACATTAGGTATATCTCCTAATGCTATTCCTCCCGCCTCCCCCCACCCCACAACAGGCCCCAGTGTGTGATGTTCCCTTTCCTGTGTCCATGTGTTCTCATTGTTCAATTCCCACCTATTAGTGAGAACATGTGGTGTTTGGTTTTTTGTCCTTGCAATAGTTTGCTGAGAATGATGGTTTCCAGCTTCATCCATGTCCCTACAAAGGACATGAACTCATCATTTTTTATGGCTGCATAGTATTCCATGGTGTATATGTGCCACATTTTCTTAATCCAGTCTATCATTGTTGGACATTTGGGTTGGTTCCAAGTCTTTGCTATTGTGAATAGTGCCACAATAAACATACATGTGCATGTGTCTTTATAGCAGCATGATTTATAATCCTTTGGGTATATACCCAGTAATGGGATAGCTGGGTCAAATGGTATTTCTAGTTCTAGATCCCTGAGGAATCGCCACACTGACTTCCACAATGGTTGAACTAGTTTACAGTCCCACCAATGGTATAAAATGTTCCTATTTCTCCACATCCTCTCCAGCACCTGTTGTTTCCTGACTTTTTAATGATCGCCATTCTAACTGGTGTGAGATGGTATCTCATTGTGGTTTTGATTTGCATTTCTCTGATGGCCAGTGATGATGAGCACTTTTTCATGTGTCTTTTGGCTGCATAAATGTCTTCTTTTGAGAAGTGTCTGTTCATGTCCTTCGCCCACTTTTTGATGGGGTTGTTTGTTTTTTTCTTGTAAATTTGTTTGAGTTCATTGTAGATTCTGGATATTAGCCCTTTGTCAGATGAGTAGATTGCAAAAATTTTCTCCCATTCTGTAGGTTGCCTGTTCACTCTGATGATAGTTTCTTTTGCTGTGCAGAAGCACTTTAGTTTAATTAGATCCCATTTGTCAATTTTGGCTTTTGTTGCCATTGCTTTTGGTGTTTTAGACATGAAGTCCTTGCCCATGCCTATGTCCTGAATGGTATTGCCTAGGTTTTCTTCTAGGGTTTTTATGGTGTTAGGTCTAACATTTGAGTCTTTAATCCATCTTGAATGAATTTTTGTATAAGATGTAAGGAAGGGATCCAGTTTCAGCTTTCTACATATGGCTAGCCAGTTTTCCCAGCACCATTTATTAAATAGGGAATCCTTTCCTCATTTCTTGTTTTTGTCAGGTTCGTCAAAGATCAGATGGTTGTAGATATGTGGCATTATTTCTGAGGGCTCTGTTCTGTTCCATTGGTCTATATCTCTGTTTTGGTACCAGTACCATGTTGTTTTGGTTACCATAGCCTTGTAGTATAGTTTGAAGTCAGGTAGGGTGATGCCTCCAGCTTTGTTCTTTGGTTTAGGATTGTCTTGGCAATGCAGGCTCTTTTTTGGTTCCATATGAACTTTAAAGTAGTTGTTTCCAATTCTGTGAAGAAAGTCATTGGTAGCTTGATGGGGATGGCATTGAATCTATAAATTACCTTGGGCAGTATGGCCATTTTCATGATATTGATTCTTCCTACCCATGAGCATGGAATGTTCTTCCATTTGTTTGTATCCTCTTTTCTTTCATTGAGCAGTGGTTTGTAGTTCTCCTTGAAGACATCCTTCACATCCCTTGCAAGTTGGATTCCTAGGTATTTTATTCTCTTTGAAGCAATTGTGAATGGGAGTTCATTCATGATTTGGCTCTCTGTTTGTCTGTTCTTGGTGTGTAAGAATGCTTGGGATTTTTGCACATTGATTTTGTATCTTGAGACTTTGCTGAAGTTGCCTATCAGCTTAAGGAGATTTTGGACTGAGACGATGGTGTTTTCTAGATATAAAATCATGTCATCTGCAACCAGGAACAATTTGACTTCCTCTTTTCCTAATTGAATACCCTTTATTTCCTTCTCCTGCCTGATTGCCCTGGCCAGAACTTCCAACACTGTGTTGAATAGGAGTGGTGAGAGAGGGCATCCCTGTCTTGTGCCAGTTTTCAAAGGGAATGCTTCCAGTTTTTGCCCTTTCAGTATGATATTGGCTGTCGGTTTGTCATAGATAGCTCTTATTATTTTGAGATACGTCCCATCAATACCTAATTTATTGAGAGTTTTTAGCATGAAGGGTTGTTGAATTTTGTCAAAGGCCTTTTCTGCATCTATTGAGATAATCACGTGGTTTTTGTCTTTGGTTCTGTTTATATGCTGGATTACATTTATTGATTTGTGTATGTTGAACCAGCCTTGCATCCCAGGGATGAAGCCCACTTGATCATGGTGGATAAGCTTTTTGATGTGCTGCTGGATTCGGTTTGCCAGTATTTTATTGAGGATTTTTGCATCAATGTTTATCAGGGATATTGGTCTAAAATTCTCTTTTTTATTGTGTCCCTGCCCGGCTTTGGTATCAGGATGATGCTGGCCTCATAAAATGAGTTAGGAAGGATTCTCTCTTTTTCTATTGATTGGAATAGTTTCAGAAAGAATGGTACCAGTTCCTCCTTGTACCTCTGGTAGAATTTGGCTGTGAATCTGTCTGGTCCTGGACTTTTTTTTGTTGGTAAACTATTAATTATTGCCTCAATTTCAGAGCCTGTTATTGGTCTCTTCAGAGATTCAACTTCTTCCTGGTTTAGTCTTGGGAGGGTGTATGTGTCAAGGAATTTATCCCTTTCTTCTAGATTTTCTAGTTTATTTGCATAGAGGTGCTTATAGTATTCTCTGATGGTAGTTTGTATTTCTGTGGGATCAGTGGTGATATCCCCTTTATCATTTTTTATTGCATCTATTTGATTTTTCTCTCTTTTCTTCCTTATTAGTCTTGCTAGCAGTCTATCAATTTTGTTAATCTTTTCAAAAAACCAGCTCCTGGATTCACTGATTTTTTTGAAGGGTCTTTTGTGTGTCTATTTCCTTCAGTTCTGGTCTGATCTTGGTTATTTCTTGCCTTCTGCTAGCTTTTGAATGTGTTTGCTCTTGCTTCTCTAGTTCTTTGAATTGTGATGTTAGGGAGTCAATTTTAGATCTTTTCTGCTTTCTCTTGTGAGCGTTCAGTGCTATAAATTTCCCTCTACATACTGCTTTGAATGTGTCCCAGAGATTCTGGTATGTTGTTTCTTTGTTCTCGTTGGTTTCAAAGAACATCTTTATTTCTGCCTTCATTTCGTTATGTACCCAGTAGTCATTCAGGAGCAGGTTGCTCAGTTTCCATGTAGTTGAGTGGTTTTGAGTGAGTTTCTTAATCCTGAGTTCTAGTTTGATTGCACTGTGGTCTGAGAGACAGTTTGTTATAATTTCTGTTCTTTTATATTTGCTGAGGAGTGCTTTGCTTCCAACTATGTGGTCAATTTTGAAATAGGTGTGGTGTGGTGCTGAAAAGAATGTATATTCTGTTGATTTGGGGTGGAGAGTTCTGTAGATGTCTATTAGGTCTGCTTGGTGCAGAGCTGAGTTCAGTTCCTGTATATCCTTCTTAACTTTCTGTCTCGTTGATCTGTCTAATGTTGACAGTGGGATGTTAAAGTCTCCGATTATTGTGTGGGAGTCTAAGTCTCTTTGTAGGTCTCTAAGTACTTGCTTTATGAATCTGGGTGCTCCTGTATTGGATGCATATATATTTAGGATAGTTAGCTCTTCTTGTTGAATTGATCCCTTTACCATTATGTAATGGCCTTCTTTGTCTCTTTTGGTCTTTCTTGGTTTAAAGTCTGTTTTATTAGAGACTAGGATTGCAACCCCTGCCATTTTTTGTTTTCCATTTGCTTGGTAGATCTTCCTCCAACCCTTTATTTTGAGCCTGTGTGTGTCTCTGCACATGAGATGGGTTTCCTGAATACAGCACACTGATGAGTCTTGACTCTTTATCCAATTTGCCAGTCTGTGTCTTTTAATTGGAGCATTTAGCCCATTTACATTTAAGGTTAATATTATTATATGTGAATTTGATCCCGTTGTTATGATGTTAGCTGGTTATTTTGCTCGTTAGTTGATGCAGTTTCTTCCTAGCCTCGATGGTCTTTACAATTTGGCATGTTTTTGCAGTGGCTGGTACTGGTTGTTCCTTTCCATGTTTAGTGCTTCCTTCAGGAGCTCTTTTAGCGCATGCCTGGTGGTGACAAAATCTCTCAGCGTTTGCTTGTCTGTAAAGGATTTTATGTCTCCTTCACTTAGTATCCAGCTTAGTTTGACTGGATATGAAATTCTGGATTGAGAATTCTTTTCTTTAAGAATGTTGAATATTGGCCCCCACTCTCTCCTGGCTTGTAGAGTTTCTGCCGAGAGATCCGCTGTTAGTCTGATGGGCTTCCCTTTGTTGGTAACTTGACCTTTCTCTCTGGCTGCCCTTAACATTTTTTCCTTCTTTTCAACTTTGGTGAATCTGACAATTATGTGTCTTGGAGTTGCTCTTCTCAGGGAGTATCTTTGTGGCATTCCTGTGTTTCCTGAATTTGAATGTTGGCTTGCCTTGCTAGATTGGGAAAGTTCTCCTGGATAATATCCTGCAGAGTGTTTTCCAACTTGGTTCCATTCTCCCCGTCACTTTCAGGTACACCAATCACATGTAGATTTGGTCTTTTCACATAGTCCCATATTTCTTGGAGGCTATGTTCATTTCTTTTTATTCTTTTTTCTCCAAACTTCTCTTCTCACTTCATTTCATTCATTTCATCTTGCGTCATGGATACCCTTTCTTCCAGTTGATCAAATCAGCTACTGAGGCTTGTGCATTTGTCACATAGTTCTCATGCCGTGGTTTTCAGCTCCATCACGTCCTTTAAGGACTTCTCTGCATTGGTTATCCTAGTTAGCCATTTGTCTAATTTTTTTTCAAGGTTTTTAACTTCTTTGCCATGGGTTCGAACTTCCTCCTTTAGCTCGGAGTAGTTTGATCGTCTGAAGCCTTCTTCTCTCAACTCGTCAAAGTCATCCTCCGTCCAGCTTTGTTCCATTGCTGGTGAGGAGCTGCGTTCCTTTGGAGGAGGAGAGGCACTCTGATTTTTAGAGTTTCCAGTTTTTCTGCTCTGTTTTTTCCCCATCTTTGTGGTTTTATCTACCTTTGGTCTTTGATGATGGTGATGTACAGGTGGGGTTTTGGTGTGGATGTCCCTTCTGTTTGTTAGTTTTCCTTCTAACAGTCAGGACCCTCAGCTGCAGGTCTGTTGGAGTTTGCTGGAGGTCCACTCCAGACCCTGTTTGCCTGGGTATCAGTAGCAGAGGCTGCAGAACGGCGCATATTGCTGAACAGCAAATGTTGCTTCCTGATCGTTCCTCTGGAAGTTTTGTCTCAGAGGAGTACCCGGCCGTGTGAGGTGTCAGTCTGCCCCTACTGGGGTGTGCCTCCCAGTTAGGCTACTCGGGGGTCAGTGACCCACTTGAGGAGGCAATCTGTCCGTTCTCAGATCTCCAGCTGCATGCTGGGAGAACCACTACTCTCTTAAAAGCTGTCAGACAGGGACATTTAAGTCTGCAGAGGTTTCTGCTGCCTTTTGTTTGGCTGTGCCCTGCCACCAGAGGTGGAGTCTACAGAGGCAGGCAGGCCTCCTTGAGCTGCAGTGGGCTCCACCCAGTTCGAGCTTCCGGGCTGCTTTGTTTACCTACTCAAGCCTCGGCATTGGCGGGCACCCCTCCCCCATCCTCGCTGCCACCTTGCAGTTTGATCTCAGACTGCTGTGCTAGCAATGAGCGAGGCTCTGTGGGCGTAGGATGCTCCAAACCAGGGACGGGATATAATCTTCTGGTGTGCCGTTTGCTAAGACCATTGGAAAAATGCAGTATTAGGGTGGGAGTGACCTGATTTTCCAGGTGCCGTCTGTCACCCCTTTCTATGACTAGGAAAGGGAATTCACTGACCCCTTGCACTTCCCATGTGAGGCGATGCCTCGCCCTGCTTTGGCTCACGCTCGGTGTGCTGCACCCACTGTCCTGCACCCACTGTCCAACACTCCCCAGTGAGATGAGCCCGGTACCTCAGTTGGAAAGGCAGAAATCACCCGTCTTCTGCGTCGCTCACGCTGGGAGCTGTAGACTGGAGCTGTTTCTATTTGGCCATCTTGGCTCCACCCCCCTATTTTGTTTCTTCTGCCTCCTGTAGAAAAACTGTTGATCCTCAGTCATAGAATTACTTACATTTCTTGACAGTAAGCAATTCATGGCAAACACCTGCCTCCTTAAATCTTCCCTCAAATCATCTAACATGAAGCCAAATTATATAAGGAGTCCTCCCACCACACTCTTATTGAGACATGCCACATGTGCTGATGGGATCAGTCTTCCTTGTTACATCAAGTAACCCAAATTCTTTTCACTACAAGTCTTTCTGGTAGTCTTTGAACAGTGAGCATTACCAGCAGTAAGGCACACCATCCTCTGAAACTTCACAGTTTACTCATCTACAAAAAGAGGAAATCAAACTAATAGCATTAGCCTGATTGTTTCCAAGGGACTTTCCAGTTCTGTCATGCCATAGCCATAAGAGTTTGCTATTTTTCTCCCTTTGATCTGATTTTATATACTTACCAAATCTCTGAGAAACTACAATAATGATTGTTTCTACTTTTTATAAGAGAAGATTTACAATAATTAAGACAAATGCTATTCTAAAAGACAGTTCTCTAGTGTTCTCAGAGAGAATGATTAACAGCAGTATTCCTCTGTAATCTATGCAAAGCTTTGAAGTCAGAAGTACCAGAAACCAAGATTTATGCTATAAATAATCCTATAATCCTATATGTAGGCTTTATAATCTTCATCTTTCTCTGGAGTTTTAACCATTTTACAGAAATTGAAGCATAGAAGTAAATTTTTTGGCATGGCAGTTTATAAACCAAATGTGGTTAAAAGCAACTGAGTAATCTTCACTTATGCAGATATAATGATGAAGTCACTAAATAACATGCAATTTAATTATATTTCTGATACATATGACACATCAGTTATACATCATAATATTTAGTTTAGAAACTTCTATCTTTTGTTGAAATTTGGCTGAATGGATCCTTTTGATTTAATAAGTTTTTATTAGAGAATAAAGATCCCTCTCCCTATAGTTCTGAGAAATTTATTTAAATTTCAGTGAAGAAAGATGTGAGAGGAAATGTTGCTAGTGAAGGGAAGAGGTTCATATAGAATAATCAAAGACAACTGACTGCCAGAGAAAAGAAGAATATGAACAAGAAGAGCAGCAACACTGTCAAAAGAAAACCTCTGCAAAGAAAAGTTTGTAGAGGAGCAGCTCTCACTAATGTTAAAAGGGCTATGCACTAAGATTATCTTTTGGATTGTGGAAGCAGACATTTCTTGGAAAACTGCAAAAAAAAAAAAAAAAATTCCAGGAAGAAATCTTTATAAAACAGCAGTCATGGAAGTATTAAAGTGTTTCTAGAAGGTATATATTTTCTCATATCAGGTAATATTTTAAATGCAAAGTTTAATCATTCTGCCAAACGTACTTACTACTGAAGGTTTCTATGGTAGTGCCTTATTTTATTAAATTGGTGCATTGTGTGGACAGCTGAGGGGTACTATACTCAGATCTGGTAATAATTCTAGCTCTATCCACTCCTATATAAGTCGCTTCCCTTTTCCCATCCTCAGTAAAACAAGCATCAAGACAAAGTGATCAGTAATATTTCTCCCTAGTCTAAAATGATAGTATTCGGAGTTCAAGAAAGAATCATGCTAAGTAGCAGAATCTTGTCTATAAAATACCAATGGCTATAGCATTTTTTATGATAATTATTTTTACCTTGGGTCTTCCAAAAAAGAAGCCATATCAGTGTTTGCACTTCTGGTAATAGCAAAGTGGATGACTGGAACTAATATTCCTACATAGAGAAAGTTAAAAAAAATTTTAAATCTACTTTAAGACATCACAAATACAATGTATTGAAGAATCATCAGGCCGAGGTCCAGAAGATGGAAATTCTGGGACGTAAGTGATTTTCATGTTTCTTATTCTTAGTCACATTGGTTGACTCAGGAGAGGCCCTTGAAAAGAGGAGTGTCTGGGCAGTTCTTTTCAACATACTGTAAGTCTAAGGGGATAAGAGTTGGAGTTTGGAACCCTCTGGGAAGGTGGGGAGCTCAGAAGCTTTCACACATTGGGTTGGAGCAGCTGTATCCCAGGGGTAATGGTGAAACAAAGGTAGACTGGCCCTTGCAATACAGATGCTCAGCCTCAAACTCTCGCAATCCCTAAAACCGAATTAATATCATTCCAAATAGATATTCCTCCAGTCCTTAGCCAAATTAAGTTTAAAAAAAAAAATGCTCTCTAGAAAAACATATCATCATCCTAGGCTTTAAACTTTGTCTTCAAATAGTTCTTCAAATATAAATTCTGCAATATAATACTTTTTTTAAAAAGCCACCCAAGGAGATGAGATCCCTTATTTCATACCTCTATTTCTCCATGTAGTATTCTACATTAACAAACTATGATCTTGTTTTGCCTTCCTGGTTGAACTGTGAGCCCTTTTGTGGCTCTCCAGTATATAACAATGCCAGAAAGTATAGGTAAACTATAGAAAATACCATAAGGAAAGTATGGATAATACTCTTGGTGGAAATGTAAATTAGTTCAGCTCCTGTGGAAAGAAGTTTAAGGATTTCTCAAAGAACTGAAAATATAACTACCATTAGACCCAGCAATCCCATGATTGGGTATATACCCAAAGAAAAATAAATTATTCTACCAAAAAGCCACCTGCACTCATGCTTATCACAGCACTACTTACAATAACAAAGACATGGAAACAACACAGGTGCCCATCAGCAATGGATTGGATAAAAAAAAAGTGGTATATATATACCACGTAATACTACACAGCATAAAAAATGAATAAAGTCATGTCCTTTCCAGCAACATGATTGCAGCTGGAGGCCATTATCCTAAGCAAATTAACATAGAAACAGAAAACCAATTATCACATATTCTCACTAATAAATGGAAGCTAAGCCCTGTATAGAAATGTATATAAAGATGGGAACAATAGACAACAGGACTCTAAAAGGAGAGCAAGAGGGAGGGGGCCAAGGGCTGAAAACCTTCCTGTCAGGTGCTATGTTCACTCTCTGGGTGATGGGATCAATAGAAGCCCAAACTTCAGCGTCACGCAATATACCCTTGTAATAAACCTGCATGTGTGCCCCCTGAATCTAAAACTTAAATTTAAAAAAAGAAAAAAAAAGAGAAAAGTATAGATAAAATATACAGGGTCACTTAGGGAGAAGAAGAATCCTACAGAGGGGGGGATTCATTTATTCGCTCATTCATTCATACATCCACTCATTGCATAAACACAGGCCCTGTATACCTAACCATCTTTTAGATTAAAATATGAATACCATTCCTCAGAGGGCCTGTATTAGTCAGGGTTCCCTAGAGGGACAGAACTAATAGGATAGCTACACTATATATAAAGGGGAGTTTATTAAGTATTAACTTAGATGATCACAAGATCCCACAATAGGCCATATGCAAGCTTCAGGAGCAAGGAAAGCCAGTCAGAGACTCAAAACTGAAGAATTTGGAATCTGATGTTTGAGGGCAGGAAGTAACCAGCCCGGAAGAAAGATGTGGGCTGGGATGTTAGGCCGGTCTTGCCTTTTCACCTTTTTCTGCCTGCTTTATATTCGCTGGCAGCTGATTAGATTGTGCCCACCAGATTAAGGGTGGGTCTGCCCTCCCCAGCCCACTGACTCAAATGTTAATCTCCTTTGGCAACACCCTCACAGACACACCCAGGATCAATACTTTGTATCCTTCAATCCAGTCAAATTGATGCTCAGTATTAACCATCACAGGGCCCATAACAGGGGACATCATGCAGAAACTGTCCTCTATAAACCTTGCCTTAAAGTATAGCTGTTTTTGTGTGTTCTCTCAGCAGATTAGGCTTATGGGGAAACTTTCTGATTTTGGACACCTTCTAGTTTTTTCTAGTCAGTGGTGTGCTCAAGCCAGTAAAACCACAACCACCTTGGCCTTAAGATAGTTTGGTTTTAAAGAAAGATGTTACCTGTCTCCAACAGACAGATTTCAGGTTAATAGACCTAAATTTGGGGCTCTTCCCTGTCCTGGGGGCAGAAAAGCTGAAAGTCAGGTTAAGTTTGAGAAAACCTGAGTCTAGCTCTCTGACTGTCTGCTACTGCCAGGCCAATGGGTCCATGAGGGATTTTGCAGCAAAGCTCACCCTCTCTGGGGTCTCTAAAACATAGCCCACACTGCATTGTGTTTTACATATCAGAGCATAGACTCTAAGGCATCAGGTTGTGGCAAAAGGGGCTGTACAATTTTTTTTTGAAACGGAGTCTCACTGTGTTGCCCAGGCTGGAGTGCAATGGTGCAATCTCAGCTCACTGCAACCCCTGCCGCCTGGGTTCAAGTGATTCTCCCACTTCAGCCTCCCAAGTAGCTGGAACTATAGGCATGTGCCACCATGCCTGGCTAATTTTTGTGTTATATTTTATTAGAGACAGAGTTTTGCCATGTTGGCTAGGCTGGTCTTGAAGTCCTGAATTCAAGTGATCCACCCACCTCAGCCTCCCAAAGTGCTGGTATCACAGGTGTGAGCCACCACACTCAGCCCTGTACAAATTTTTGTTTCACATTAATTTCTGTTTCTCGGCATTATCACAAGGTGATTTCAGATACTTGAGTTCCAGACATTACTACCCATGACAGTTATGGGTGAAAGATTCAATCCAGAATTGGGACACACACAAGTGCAAATTGTTTGAAAAGCCAAAAGTAGCCTCTCAAGTTTCACAGACAGCTTGCTCAAGGCACTAGCAACTGAGACACATGTGGGAAGCAGAACAGGGCAGATAAAGGCACATATGTTTCTGAGTCAGGTGACCTGTGCTCACATCTTGGCCCTGCCATTTGCTCTCTGTGTGATATTGAGGGAGTTACTAACCTCTTGGTCCCCAGTTTGCTCATCTATAAATTGCAGTATTGTTGGTTTTTCTATAGGATACTTGTTTGTTGTAAGGATTAAATGACATAATTCATGTGAAGTGTTTTTGAGCACATTGTCTGGCATGTGATAAGTGCCCAATAAATTACTATTAAGTTGTTACTGTGTGTTGTTGTTGTTATATGCAAGTTATATACAGAACAATATTCATAAAATTGTCATGTCTTTTCCTCCTTGAGGCAGACACATTGGACTTACAGTGTGTAAAAAGAGTGCCTGGGATGGAAGTCACTGCCTATCATGTAGTTAATGGTCAACAAGTGACAGTTCAATCATTGGTCCATTCTCTCCTTCCTGTGCAATCAGTTCTCGATTTTCCATTGTGACAAAGAGGCAAAGAGATGTTGACAATCAAAAATGTTTTGTATTCCAAAGATTATGTATACTTAGCTTATAGAAGAGTGTTTTATACAACTTTTATAGAAGAATATGTTCAATGTTCATAAATCTCAAGTCAAAGTAACTCATTCACCCTTTCATTCAATCAAATAATGCCAACTGAGACTAAGTCACATACCAGGCACTGTGTTGAATGTCCTGGACACAGGCAGGAACAAGACTGCTGGTCCCTGTTATCAGGGAGCTTAAATTCTAATGGCAGCAACCAAGGTAATATTACTGCTCTCATGAGCCATAGGCACTTTCATGTGCTTCTTCCTCCATAAAAATATATTCAAAATTATATTTCATGACTGTGTTGGCATAAAGACTATTAATATTATATATTAAAACATTTCTTTGACCTAGAAATTTATTTTCGTCTTCTGATTTTAAAAGCAATTAAAACAATTCATGGATCCCTAAGAGTATTACGGGCCCTATGCACTATGACTTCTGTGCCTGATGAAAAAGGTGACAGCAAAGCAAAGTGAACATGGAAACAAAAGATACCAACTGACTTATTTTGGTGACCATTTGAAGGTAAACTTCATACATCATGCATTTCACATGAAAATATTTCAGCTTAAAGGCATTCTCTTGTGTACCCACGATACTATGATAATGCCTCAAAAATTAAGGTTAATTTGTAAAACTACGGTATTTTTAGCCTAAATTATAGTACTTAGTCCCACATCATATAATTTCTGAATTTTATATGGATACTTCAATTTTTTTTTTTTTTTTGGTTTTTTTTTGAGATGAGTCTCACTCTTGTTTCCCAGGCTGGAGTGCAATGGCACAACCTTGGCTTGCTGCAACCTCCACCTTCTGTGTTCAAGCGATTCTCCTGCCTCAGCCTCCCGAGTAGCTGGGATTATAGGTGCCCCGCCACCACGCCTGGCTAATTCTTTCTATTTTTTAGTAGAGACGGGATTTCATCACGTTGGCCAGGCTGGTCTCCAACTCCTGACCTCAGTTGATCCACCCACCTCGGCCTCCCAAAGTGCTCGGATCACAAGCATGAGCCACCGCACCCAGCCGATACTTCCATTTTAAGCCAGAGTTATATTACCTGATCTAACCATTCACATTATCTGCTAGATTTATCTTTGGATAATATTTGACTGTCAAAATAATGACTAATTTTTAATGCTTAAAATGTTTCTTGTGCTGAACTTCTATTGATGCTTTATTGAGACACAAATTTCTCTATACTGTTTTTTTGTATTCTTTAATTTTTCTCCTTTGACATTCTTTTCTTTGCCCCAAAAATTCTTAGTACATACTCCTCTTTAGAAGTTCTGTCATGAATCAAGTTGCCTAAGATGAAATATCAGGAGAAAGAATTGTCTTATTTCATTTGCCAGATGTTATTATTTTTTATTATACTTTAAGTTTTAGGGTACATGTGCACAACGTGCAGGTTTGTTACATATGTATACATGTGCCATGTTGGTGTGCTGCACCCATTAATTCGTCATTTAACATTAGGTATATCTCCTAATGCTATCCTTCCCCCCTCCCCCCTCCCCCCACCCCACGAAAGGCCCCGGTGTGTGATGTTCCCCTTCCTGTGTCCATGTGTTCTCATTGTTCAATTCCCTCCTAAGAGTGAGAACATGCGGTGTTTGGTTTTTTGTCCTTGCGATAGTTTGCTGAGAATGATGGTTTCCAGCATCATCCGTGTCCCTACAAAGGACATGAACTCATCATTTGTTATGGCTGCATAGTATTCCATGGTGTATATGTGCCACATTTTCTTTTTTTTTTAATTTATTATTATTATACTCTAAGTTTTAGGGTACATGTGCACAATGTGCAGGTTAGTTACATATGTATACATGTGCCATGCTGGTGCGCTGCACCTACTAACTTGTCATCTAGCATTAGGTATATCTCCCAATGCTATCCCTCCCCCCTCCCCCCACCCCACAACAGTCCCCAGAGTGTGATGTTCCCCTTGCTGTGTCCATGTGTTCTCATTGTTCAATTCCCACCTATGAGTGAGAATATGCGGTGTTTGGTTTTTTGTTCTTGCGATACTTTACTGAGAATGATGATTTCCAATTTCATCCATGTCCCTGCAAAGGACATGAACTCATCATTTTTTATGGCTGCATAGTATTCCATGGTGTATATGTGCCACATTTTCTTAATCCAGTCTATCATTGTTGGACATTTGGGTTGGTTCCAAGTCTTTGCTATTGTGAATAGTGCCACAATAAACATACATGTGCATGTGTCTTTATAGCAGCATGATTTATAATCCTTTGGGTATATACCCAGTAATGGGATGGCTGGGTCAAATGGTATTTCTAGTTCTAGATCCCTGAGGAATCGCCACACTGACTTCCACAATGGTTGAACTAGTTTACAGTCCCACCAACAGTGTAAAAGTGTTCCTATTTCTCCACATCCTCCCTAGCACCTGTTGTTTCTTGACTTTTTAATGATTGCCATTCTAACTGGTGTGAGATGGTATCTCATTGTGGTTTTGATTTGCATTTCTCTGATGGCCAGTGATGGTGAGCATTTTTTCATGTGTCTTCTGGCTGCATAAATGTCTTCTTTTGAGAAGTGTCTGTTCATGTCCTTTACCCACTTTTTGATGGGGTTGTTTGATTTTTCTTGTAAATTTGTTTGAGTTCATTGTAGATTCTGGATATTAGCCCTTTGTCAGATGAGTAGGTTGTGAAAATTTTCTCCCATTTTGTAGGTTGCCTGTTCACTCTAATGGTAGTTTCTTTTGCCATGCAGAAGCTCTTTAGTTTAATTAGATCCCATCTGTCAATTTTGGCTTTTGTTCCCATTGCTTTTGGTGTTTTAGACATGAAGTCCTTGCCCATGCCTATGTCCTGAATGATAATGCCTAGGTTTTCTTCTAGGGTTTTTATGGTTTTAGGTCTAACGTTTAAGTCTTTAATCCATCTTGAATTGATTTTTGTATAAGGTGTAAGGAAGGGATCCGTTTCAGCTTTCTACATATGGCTAGCCAGTTTTCCCAGCACCATTTATTAAATAGGGAATCCTTTCCCCATTGCTTGTTTTTCTCAGGTTTGTCAAAGATCAGATAGTTGTAGATATGCGGCGTTATTTCTGAGGGCTCTGTTCTGGTCCATTGATCTACACTGCTGTTTTGGTATGAGTACCATGCTGTTTTGGTTACTGTAGCCTTGTAGTATAGTTTGAAGTCAGGTAGTGTGATGCCTCCAGCTTTGTTCTTTTGGCTTAGGATTGACTTGGCGATGCAGGCTCTTTTTTGGTTCCATATGAACTTTAAAGTAGTTGTTTCCAATTCTGTGAAGAAAGTCATTGGTAGCTTGATGGGGATGGCATTGAATCTGTAAATTACCTTGGGCAGTATGGCCATTTTCATTATATTGATTCTTCCTACCCATGAGCATGGAATATTCTTCCATTTGTTTGTATCCTCTTTTATTTCCTTGAGCAGTGGTTTGTAGTTCTCCTTGAAGAGGTCCTTGACATCCCTTGTAAGTTGGATTCCTAGGTATTTTATTCTCTTTGAAGCAATTGTGAATGGGAGTTCACTCATGATTTGGCTCTCCGTTTGTCTGTTATTGGTGTATAAGAATGCTTGTGATTTTTGCACATTGATTTTGTATCCTGAGACTTTGCTGACGTTGCTTATCAGCTTAAGGAGATTTTGGGCTGAGACAATGGGGTTTTCTAGATATACAATCATGTCGTCTGCAAACAGGGACAATTTGATTTCCTCTTTCCCTAATTGAATACCCTTTATTTCCTTCTCCTGCCTAATTGCCCTGGCCAGAACTTCCAACACTATGTTGAATAGGAGTGGTGAGAGAGGGCATCCCTGTCTTGTGCCAGTTTTCAAAGGGAATGCTTCCAGTTTTTGCCCATTCAGTATGATATTGGCTGTGGGTTTGTCATAGATAGCTCTTATTATTTTGAAATACGTCCTATCAATACCTAATTTATTGAGAGTTTTTAGCATGAACAGTTGTTGAATTTTGTCAAAGGCCTTTTCTGCATCTTTTGAGATAATCATGTGGTTTTTGTCTTTGGTTCTGTTCATATGCTGGATTACATTTATTGATTTGCATATATTGAACCAGCCTTGCATCCCAGGGATGAAGCCCACTTGATCATGGTGGATAAGCTTTTTGATGTGCTGCTTGATTCAGTTTGCCAGTATTTTATTGAGGATTTTTGCATCAATGTTCATCAAGGGTATTGGTCTAAAATTCTCTTTTTTGATTGTGTCTCTGCCCGGCTTTGGTATCAGGATGATGCTGGCCTCATAAAATGAGTTAGGGAGGATTCCCTCTTTTTCTATTGATTGGAATAGTTTCAGAAGGAATGGTCCAGTTCCTCCTTGTACCTCTGGTAGAATTCAGCTGTGAATCCATCTGGTCCTGGACTCTTTTTGGTTGGTAAGCTATTGATTATTGCCACAATTTCAGAGCCTGTTATTTGGTCTATTCAGAGATTCAACTTCTTCCTGGTTTAGTCTCGGGAGAGTGTATGTGTCGAGGAATTTATCCATTTCTTCTAGATTTTCTAGTTTATTTGCATAGAGGTGTTTGTAGTATTCTCTGATGGTAGTTTGTATTTCTGTGGGATTGGTGGTGATATCCCCTTTATCATTTTTTATTGCGTCTATTTGATTCTTCTCTCTTTTCTTCTTTATTAGTCTTGCTAGTGGTCTATCAGTTTTGTTGATCCTTTCAAAAAACCAGCTCCTGGATTCATTAGTTTTTTGAAGGGTTTTTTGTGTCTCTATTTCCTTTAGTTCTGCTCTGATTTTAGTTATTTCTTGCCTTCTGCTAGCTTTTGAATGTGTTTGCTCTTGCTTTTCTAGTTCTTTTAATTGTGATGTTAGGGTGTCAATTTTGGATCTTTCCTGCTTTCTCTTGTGGGCATTTAGTGCTATAAATTTCCCTCTACACACTGCTTTGAATGCGTCCCAGAGATTCTGGTATGTTGTGTCTTTATTCCCATTGGTTTCAAAGAACATCTTTATTTCTGCCTTCATTTCGTTATGTACCCAGTAGTCATTCAGGAGCAGGTTGTTCAGTTTCCATGTAGTTGAGCGGTTTTGAGTGAGATTCTTAATCCTGAGTTCTAGTTTGATTGCACTGTGGTCTGAGAGAGAGTTTGTTATAATTTCTGTTCTTTTACATTTGCTGAGGAGAGCTTTACTTCCAAGTATGTGGTCAATTTTGGAATGGGTGTCGTGTGGTGCTGTAAAAAATGTATATTCTGTTGATTTGGGGTGGAGAGTTCTGTAGATGTCTATTAGGTCTGCTTGGTGCAGAGCTGAGTTCAATTCCTGGGTATCCTTGTTGACTTTCTGTCTCGTTGATCTGTCTAATGTTGACAGTGGGGTGTTAAAGTCTCCCATTATTAATGTGTGGGAGTCTAAGTCTCTTTGTAGGTCACTCAGGACTTGCTTTATGAATCTGGGTGCTCCTGTATTGGGTCCATATATATTTAGGATAGTTAGCTCTTCTTGTTGAATTGATCCCTTTACCATTATGTAATGGCCTTCTTTGTCTCTTTTGATCTTTCTTGGTTTAAAGTGTGTTTTATCAGAGACCTGCCTTTTTTTGTTTTCCATTTGCTTGGTAGATCTTCCTCCATCCCTTTATTTTGAGCCTATGTGTGTCTCTGCGCATGAGATGGGTTTCCTGAATACAGCACACTGATGGGTCTTGACTCTTGATCCAATTTGCCAGTCTGTGTCTTTTAATTGGAGCATTTAGTCCATTAACATTTAAAGTTAATATTGTTATGTGTGAATTTGATCCTGCCATTATGATGTTAGCTGGTTATTTTGCTCGTTGGTTGATGCAGTTTCTTCCTAGTCTCGATGGTCTTTACATTTTGGCATGATTTTGCAGTGGCTGGTACCAGTTGTTCCTTTCCATGTTTAGTGCTTCCTTCAGGAGCTCTTTTAGAGCAGGCCTGGTGGTGACAAAATTTCTCAGCATTTGCTTGTCTGTAAAGGGTTTTATTTTTCCTTCACTTATGAAGCTTAGTTTGGCTGGATATGAAATTCTGGGTTGAAAAGTCTTTTCTTTAAGAATGTTGAATATTGGTCCCCACTCTCTTCTGGCTTGTAGAGTTTCTGCCGAGAGATCCGCTGTTAGTCTGATGGGCTTCCCTTTGAGGGTAACCCGACCTTTCTCTCTGGCTGCCCTTAACATTTTTTCCTTCATTTCAACTTTGGTGAATCTGACAATTATGTGTCTTGGAGTTGCTCTTCTCGAGGAGTATCTTTGTGGCATTCTCTGTATTTCTGGAATCTGAATGTTGGCCTGCCTTGCTAGATTGGGGAAGTTCTCCTGGATAATATCCTGCAGAGTGTTTTCCATGTTGGTTCCATTCTCCCCGTCACTTTCAGGTACACCAATCAGATGTAGATTTGGTCTTTTCACATAGTCCCATATTTCTTGGAGGCTTTGCTTGTTTCTTTTTATTCTTTTTTCTCTAAACTTCCCTTCTCGCTTCATTTCATTCATTTCATCTTCCATCACTGATACCCTTTCTTCCAGTTGATCGCATCGGCTCCTGAGGCTTCTGCATTCTTCACGTAGTTCTCGAACCTTGGTTTTCAGCTCCATCAGCTCCTTTAAGCACTTCTCTGTATTGGTTATTCTAGTTATACATTATTCTAAATTTTTTTCAAAGTTTTCAACTTCTTTGCCTTTGGTTTGAATGTCCTCCAGTAGCTCAGAGTAATTTGATCGTCTGAAGCCTTCTTCTCTCAGCTCGTCAAAGTCATTCTCCATCCAGCTTTGTTCCACTGCTGGTGAGGAACTGCATTCCTTTGGAGGAGGAGAGGCACTCTGCTTTTTAGAGTTTCCAGTTTTTCTCCTCTGTTTTTCCCCATCTTTGTGGTTTTATGTACTTTTGGTCTTTGATGATGGTGATGTACAGATGGGTTTTTGGTGTGGATGTCCTTTCTGTTTGTTAGTTTTCCTTCTAACAGACAGGACCCTCAGCTGCAGGTCTATTGGAGTACCCAGCCGTGTGAGGTGTCAGTCTGCCCCTGCTGGGGGGTGCCTCCCAGTTAGGCTGCTCAGGGGTCAGGGGTCAGGGACCCACTTGAGGAAGCAGTCTGCCCGTTCTCAGATCTCCAGCTGCATGCTGGGAGAACCACTGCTCTCTTCAAAGCTGTCAGACAAGGACATTTAAGTCTGCTGAGGTTACTGCTGTCTTTTTGTTTGTCTGTGCCCTGCCCCCAGAGGTGGAGCCTACAGAGGTAAGCAGGCCTCCTTGAGCTGTGGTGGGCTCCACCCAGTTCGAGCTTCCCAGCTGCTTTGTTTACCTAATCAAGCCTGGGCAATGGCGGGCGCCCCTCCCCCAACCTCGCTGCCGCCTTGCAGTTTGATCTCAGACTGCTGTGCTAGCAATCAGTGAGACTCCATGGGCATAGGACACTCTGAGCCATGTGCGGGATATAATCTCCTGGTGTGCCGTTTTTTAAGCCCGTCAGAAAAGCGCAGTATTCGGGTGGGAGTGATCTGATTTTCCAGGTGCCGTCCTTCACCCCTTTCTTTGACTAGGAAAGGGAACTCCCTGACCCCTTGCACTTCCCAAGTGAGGCAATGCCTCGCCCTGCTTCGGCTCGCACACGGTGCGCTGCACCCACTGTCCTGCGCCCACTGTCTGGCACTCCCTAGTGAGATGAACCTGGTACCTCAGATGGAAATGCAGAAATCACCCATCTTCTGCATCTCTCACGCTGGGAGCTGTAGACTGGAGCTGTTCCTATTTGGCCATCTTGGCTCCTCCCCTCCCTCATTTTCTTAATCAGATGTTATTTTATAAAGTGGATATGAAAGTTACTGAAGTTAACAGGAGATATATTATAGATCTTATCTATACTATATTGTCTTATCTATAGTGTACCTTCCAGAATAAACTGTATCTAACTTACAGCAAAACTTTAATATAAATCATCTTATGACCTGAAGAAGGTCATTTGGGAGGATGGCAAAAGTAATTCTAATCAGTAAACAGACATAGGCTTAACTATCAACCTTGACATCTTAAATAATTCTAACCCCTGTAAGCCATGGTCACAGCTGAAAAATAGGGATGATAACACTAACATATGAACTCACAATGTCAATCTCCTGCTTCCCTATCTCTTCCTTGGTATTTCCCAAAGTAACCATCCCCAGTGATAGCTCCAACAAACAGAGCTATGCCTCCCATAAAACCTTCATATCTTGCTCACATGATGCTCAATTTGTGGTCTCATTTACAAGTAAAAAAATAACAGGTAAGAGGAGATAATCAAAGAGACAGATATTTATTTTATTTGAAATATATGAAACAAACTACCTGACATTTTCTGTAATGAAAACAATTTTAATCAGGATTTTGAGATTGCCAGAGAAGTCAGGCAAGGGAAATAAATAAAAGACATCCAAATTTGAAATGAAGAATTCAAGCTGTTCCTCTTTGCTGATGATATGATGTTATATCTAGAAAAACCTAAAGACCCCATAAAAAATCTCTCAGATTTGTTTAAATGAGTTCAGTAGAGTTGCAGTTTATAAAATCATTGTGCAAAAATCAGTAGCATTTCTGTACACCAATAATGAACTAGTTTATAAATAAATTAAGAAGGCAGTCTCATTTATAATGGCTACAAAAAAAATAAAATACCTAGGATAAATTTAACCAAGGAAGTGAAAGATTTCTACAAGAAAAACCCCAAAACACTATTGAAAGAAATTGAAGATGACACAAACAAATGGAAAAATATCCCATGTTAATGGATTGAAAGAATCAATATCATTAAAATAAGCATAATTCCCAAAACAATCTACAGATTCAGTACATTCTCTATCAAAATATTTTTATTCTTCACAGAATTAGAAAAAAACAAAATTTATATCCAATCAAAAAAGAGTCTAAACAGTCAAAATAATTCTGAGCAAAAAGGATAAAGTTGGAAGCATCATACTATCTGACTTAAAAATATATCACAAGGCTCTAGTAACCAAAACAGCATGATATTGGCATAAAAATGGGCAAATAGATGGATGGAATAGGATAGAGAACCTAGAAATAAAGCCATATATTTATAGCCAATTGATCTTCAACAAAGCCAACAAGAACGTACCTTGGGGAACAGATGCCCTCTTTAATATATGGTGCTGAGAAAATTGTATAGCCACATACAGAAGAATTAAACTGGACCCCTGTCTCTCACCATGCACAAAAGTCAATTCAAAATGGATTAAATATTTAAATATAAGACCTGAAACTATAAAAATACTCAAAGAAAACCTAGGAAAAACTTAGACCAGGACATTGGTCTAAGGAAAGAATTTATGACTAAGAAACAAAAAGCCTCGAAAGCACAGGCAGCAAAAGCAGAATGTAGACAAATGGGACTTAATTAAACTAACAAGCTTCGGAATAGCAAAAAAAAAAAAAAAATCAAAACAGTGAAGATGCAACCTGTTGAATAGATAAAAATATTTGCAAACTATTCTGACAGGTGACTAATATCCAGAAATACAAGGAATTCAAACAACTCAACAGAAAAAGTAATAATAATAATAATTCCATTAAAAAGTGGGCAAAGGACATGAATAAACATTTCTCAAAAGAAGGCATACAAAGGCTAACAGGTATACAAAAAAATCTCAACATCACTAATCACCAGAAAAATGCAAATCAAAACCACGGTGAGGCTGGGTGCAGCGGCTCACGCCTGTAATGCCAGCACTTCGGGAGGCCAAGGCAGGAAGATCACTTGAGCTCAGGAGTTCGAGACCAGCCTGGGCACCATGGTGAGACAGAGTCTCTACAAAAACTACAAAAAATTAGCCAAGCGTGGGTGGCACATGCCTGTGGTCCTAGATAGGAGGATGGCTTGAGCTCAGGAGGCAGAAGTTGTGATGAGCTAAGATCATGCCACTCCACTCCAGCCTGGGCAACAGAGATCCTGTCTCAAAGGAAAAAAAAAAACCACAGTGAGATTTCATCTCACACAAGTCAGAATAGCTATTGTTAAAAAGCCAAAAAACAGACGTTGGTGAGAATGCACAGAAAAGGAAGCTCTTATACACTTTTGGTGGGAACATAAACTAGTACAACCACTATGGAAAACACTATGGAGATCTGTCAAAAACTAAAAATAGAATCACTGTTCAATCTAGCAATCCCATTACTGGGTATCTACCCAGAGAAAAAGAAATCGATATATCAAAAAGACATCTTCACTTGCCTGTTTATTGCAGCACTATTCACAATGTCTACCAGATGGAATCGTAAGTGTTCATCAACAAATGAATGGATAAATAAAATGTGCCATATCTGCACAATGGAATAATATTCAGCCATTAAAAAGAGTAAAATGACACCATTTGCAGCAACATGGATGGAATTGAAGGTCATTATTGTAAGTGAAATAAGCTAGGCACAAAAAGACAAGAATCACATGTTCACACTTATATGTGGGACCTAAAAATTTTCAACACATGGAGGTAGAGAGTAGAAAAATAGATAACAGAGACTGGAAAAGAAATA
This sequence comes from Homo sapiens, assembly GCF_000001405.40. Taxonomy (NCBI): domain Eukaryota; kingdom Metazoa; phylum Chordata; class Mammalia; order Primates; family Hominidae; genus Homo; species Homo sapiens. The sequence continues at coordinate 32,233,815 of NC_000009.12, forward strand.
TGGTGGTGCATTTCCTGGATGTTCTTTTTGTCTCAGATATTCCAGATTTGAAGCTGAAAAAGTTGGCAACACGGAAACAGATACAGTCACACAAAACAGCTCCAAAATAAGACTCGACTCAAAATTAGTGAAAGGACCAGGTCAAAAGCAGCCTAGAATTATTTTTAGATAATAACCATTCTGTTGCAGCCAAACACCAGAGAAAAAAATGGTGGATTCACCCCACTCTCATCAGCAAATACTAAGTGAAGAGCTTATACTTCCATCCTTGGGAGGCTGCAAGAAGGGACCCCAGCAACCACCAAGGTTATGTCAGAGAAGACCAACTAGGGAGCTGAGACTTTCATTCCCACTGGCCAGTAATGAGGTGATCACTCCCATTTCCACTTCCACATATGGTGTCAAAGAAGACCATATGGGCATCCTGGCCTTCGACCTTCACCAGGAAGTAACAAATAAACCCAAAGCAAACATAAAGAGGAAATAATGAAAATAAAAGCAAAAAGCAATTAAATCGAAACAGAAGAATAGTACAGAAAAAGCAATAAAACAAAAAGCTAGCATTTTGAAAATGTCAATGCAATTAGCAAACCTCTAGCAAGACTGACAGAGAGAAGGAAAGAGAAGACACAAATGATTATCAGGTATCCAAAGGATACTTGAAGACATCAAAAGGAATACTACTAACAACTCTGCATATATAAATTTGAAAACTTAGACAAAACTGACAAATTTCTTTAGAAACACAAACCATCTGACAAAGATTCTTTACTTGGCCAAGCTTTAGTGAGGCTTCCGAACCTTCTGCTAGTCCCATCTGTGTACTTCCTTGTAAAGTCCAATTTTAGCAAAGAACACTGCTAAGTCGTTTTGAAAAGAATCCCCCATGTTCCATATGTGATCAGGCTCCTCACCCTCTGCCATCCTCCAAGTGATGTCTGATCACACTGGCTTGCCTTCAGCAAGAATCCTGTTAGGTTGGTTTAGCCAGAATCCCCTTGACTCCTGATGTTTCCTCTTAGTAATTTTCCATCCACTGATCCCCACAATGTTTCTTGGCTATAAATTTCTTCTTGCTTATGCTTATTCAGAGTTGAGCCAATGTCTCTCCCCAACTGCAAGACCCCATTACAATGGTCCCTATACCCATCACAGTGGTCCTGAATAAAGTCTTCCTTACCACACTTTACAAGTATCATTGAATAATTTTTCTTTAACACACTACAATTCATCCAATATGAAATTGAAATTTTGAATAGCCTTATAACTATTAAGAAAATTGAATTTGTAATTTTAAAAACTCCTCAAGAAGAAATCTTTAGGTCCAGATGCTTTCACCAGAAAATTCTACCAAATGTTTAGATAATAATTAACATTGATTCTACATAATAATTCTAGAAAATAAAAGGGAAGGGAATACATTATACAACATTCTATAAAAGAGAAAGGAACACTTCCCAATTCATTTAATTAAGCTAGTATTACTCTGATACCAAAGCCAGAAAAAGACAGTACAAAAAGGTAAAATACCAATGCCTCTCGTTAATATAGATGCAAAAATCTTCAACATAATATTATGTTTTGGGGTTTTCTCTTTAAAGGTGGGGTCTCACTATATTGCCCAGGCTAAATTCAAACTTCTAGGGTCAAGTGATGCTCCCACTTCAGCCTCCAGAGTAGCTGGCACTACAGGTACACACCATACCTAGCCCAACATAATATTAGCACATAGAATTCATCAATATACAAAACAGAGTTATACATCATCACCAAGTGGTAATTATTTCTGGAAGGCTTCAATACATGAAGTGCAATCAGTGTAACCCATTATATTAGCAGACTACAGAAGAACAAAAAAAAATCACAAAAATCAATGCAGAAAAAGCAGTGACATAATTCAACACCTATCGATGACTTTAATTTTTTTTTTCAGAAAATTAAGAATAGAGGGGAGACCAGGTGTGATGGCTTACTCCTGTAATCCCAGCACTTTGGGAGGCCGAGACAAATGGATCACTTAGGCCAGGAGTTCGAGACAAGACTGGCCAACATGCCGAAACCCCGTCTCTACTAAAAATACAAAAATTAGGCATGGTGGTGCACGCCTGTAATCCCAGCTGTTTGGGAGGGTGAGGCACGAGAATTGGTTGAACCTGGGAGGCAGAGCCTGCAGTGAGCCAAGATCGTGCCACTGCACTCCAGCCTGGGTGACAGAGTGAGACTCGGTCTCAAAAAAAAAAAAAAAAAATAGAATGTCTTCAACTTGATGAACAGTATCTATAACACAATCTGCAGTTAATATTATACTTAATATTGAATACTTTCCCTAGAAGATTGGAACAATGCAAGGATGTTTTGTTGAGCATAGTACTGGAAGTTCTAGCTAGAGCAACAGGCAAGAAAAAGAAGCAAAAGACACATATATCACAAAGGAGTAAATAAAAGTGTTTGAAGATTACATGATTGTCAACTTAGAAAATGGCAAGGAATCTATCAAAAAAAAAACCTCATAAAATAAATGACTTCAGCAAGGTCACAGAATACAAGAAAACATACAAAATAAGTTCTGTTTCTACATACTAGCAATGAACATGTGAACAAAATTAATAATTCAACACCATTTATAATTGCTCAAAAAATAAATATTTAGGTGCAAATCTAGCAAAACATGTACAGGACATGTATGCTAAAAACTGCAAAACTAAAGAAAAAGAAGAGGAAGAAGGAGAGAGTGAAGGAAAGGATAGGAAAAAAGAAAAGGAAGGAAGAAAGGGAGAGAGGGAGGGAAGGAAGGCCAGAGAGGAAAGGAGAGAGAGAGATCTAAATAAATGGAAAGATGTACTGTACTCACAGATCAAAAGACTAAATCTATAAAGATATCAATTCTCCTCAAACTGATGTATAGGTTTAACACAATTTATATCAAAATCCCAGCAATATCCTTTTATATAGAGAGAAGATTATTCTAAAATTTATATGAAAAGTAAAAGGAACTAGAATAGTAAAACAATTTTGAAAGAGAAAAATAAAATGTAAAAAATCATCTACCAAACTTCAAGATTTATCGTATAGCTACAGTAATCAGTTCTGTGATATTGCCTGAGTGATAAGCACAATAGAACAGAACAGAAAACCCAGAAATAGACTCTTAAATATGCTCAACTGGTTTTTGACAAAAGTACAAAAGCAATTCAATGAAGATAGCCTGCTGAATAAATGGTGTTCAGAAACTAGACATCCATAAGCAAAACAAAAAAAGAAACATATACAAAAATTAATCCAAATGGGTTATAGAGTTAGATGTAAATTATAAAACGTAAAATTTTAAGAAAAATATAGGAAAAAAATCTTCAGGTTATAGGCCTAGGCAAGGGTTCTTATACTTGACATTAAAAACATGATTTTTTAAAAAAGCTTCATGAATTAGACTCCATCAACATGAAAAACTTTTGCTCTGCAAAAGACTCCATTAAAAGAATAAAAAGACAAATTACAACCTTGGAGAAAATATTTTCAAACCACATATTTGACAAAAGGCAAGTATGTAATTAACTCTCAAATCTCAACAGTAAAGAAAAAAACACACAGACATTTCATCAAAGAAGATATACAGATGGCAAACCAACATATGAAAATATGTTTCACATCATTAGCCATTAAGGAAATTAGGAATGTGATGAGTACTGTATGCCTATCAGAATAGCTAAAATGAAAATAGTGACAATATCAAATGCTTGTGAGAATGTGAAGAAACTGTGTATTAGTTCGTTTTCACGCTGCTGATAAAGAAATTACCAAGACTGGGCAATTTACAAAAGAAAGAAAGTTTCACTTTGCAGGGAAACTCCTCTTTATAAAACCATCAGATCTCATGAGACTTATTCACTATCATGAGAATAGTACAGAAAAGACCCGCCCCCATGATTCAGTTACCTCCCACCAGGTCCCTATTACAACACGTGGCAAATTGTGGGAGTTACAATTCAAGGTGATATTTGGGTGGGGACACAGCTAAACCGTATCAAACAGGATCACATATACATTGCTAGTGTGAAGATAAAATGGTACAGCCTCTCTGGAAAACAGTTTGGCAGTTTCTTAAAAGAACTGCACATGCAATGTTCATATGACCCAGGGACTGCACTGCTATCCCAGAGAAATGAAGACTTATGCTTACACAAAAAGAAATCTACATGGATTTTTATTGCAGCTTTATTTGTAATTGCAAAAAACTGGAAACAACCCAGATGTCCTTCAATGGGTAAATGATTTAAAAACTGTGGTATATCCATATCATGTAATACTACACAGAAATAAAAAGGAACAAACTACCAATGCATACAATTTGAGTGAATCTCCAGAGAATTTTGCTAAGTGAGAAAACAAATCCAAAAAGTTATATACTGTATGATTCCATTCTATAAGATTCTTGATGTGACAAAGAAAGGGAGACTAGCTTAGTAATTGACAGGAGCTAAGGAAGGTATTTAAGTGGAAGGGAAATGGCTATAAAAGGACAACATGGGGGATTTGTTGTGGTGATGGAAATGCTCTGTATCTATCTTGACTGTATCAATGTCCACATGCAGATTATAATGTTGTTCAAAACTATTGTATCATAGTTTTGCAAGGTATTACCAGGGGGATAATGGGTAAAGTATATACAAGGTCTCTCTGTATTATATCTCACAACTGAATGTGAACCTACCATTATTTCACAATAAAACGTTTAATTAACACACACAATATATATATATAAATAGTTTGCCAAGATGCCTTGTCTTTTTCTTTCAGATGAACATATAGACCTGTTTTATTTAGGTGACTACTTAATCTATTCACTCATTTTTTTAATTTCAACTTTTATTTTAGATACAGGGGTAAATGTGCAGGTTTGTTATATAGGTATATTGGACCAAGGTAGTGAGCACAGTATTCAATAGATAGTTTTTTAACCCATGCATCACCCCCTACCTCGCCAGCTAGTAGTCCACAGTGTCTGTTCCCATGTTTTGGTCCATGTGTGCTTAATGTTTAGCTCCCACTTATAAGTGAGAACATGTAGTATTTAGTTTTCTGTTCCTGAGTTAATTCGCTTATGATTATGGCCTGGAGCTCCATCCATGTTGCTGCAAAGGACAAGATTTCTTTTTTTTATGAAAAGCCATGCCTTTATTCCTGATAACTCAGATACTCATTAAGCTCTTGATCCTAAGTGCGAACTCAGGGCTTCACAGCCAGATTGGTGGGCCCAAATTTGGCCAGCTGTCTGACTGACAGACATTGTTTTGACTTTGAACTAACGTCACTGGAAATGTAGTAAGTCTTGGTTATCTGTAGAGCTCACTAAATAGTATTTGTCAGCCAGTTTGTCTATTGGGGAAATTTTTTCTGATGTGATGTCATGATTTACTATGATTTTTTGAACCAAATCAATATCTCAGCAGTTTTTTCCTGTATCAGTTATCATCCAAGCCCCAAACAATAGTTGTCAAACACGGATGAATATTGGAATTGCAGAGGAGCAACGAACTCAATTGGTTGGAGCTAAGACTCAAACATTAGTATTATTTAGAAGCTCACCAGGACATCCACATACAGCCAGAGGTGAGAACCACTGATCCAAAACAAATAGACAAAAAGCCACAATTACATTGAAGAGAAAATGATCAATACCTACAGATTCAAAAAAATAGCAGCCAAGGTTGGCAAGATGAGGAAAAATCTCCATTCTCATTCATTGCTAGAGAGAGAACGAAATAATTTTCAAACTTTTCTGAAGGGCAATTTTGCATCTCTGTGGAAATATTCATAGAAATTAATCTTACAAATCTTCTAGCAATCTAAGGAAAATCATGGGATGAGTGATGATATCCAGCTACATAATGTTAATTGCCATATTGTTTATAAAATGTCAAGACTGATGGCAACCTTAATGTCCAATAATGACGGAGTGGATAAATAAATGATTCCATTGTGCATTATAATCATGGAATATTACAAAGTCATCAAAAATAGAATTTTAAAATAATATGTAATTATGTGGAAAGATGTGAACAACACACTAAACTGTGGGAAATAGATTACTAAACAACATGCACATTATGGCCACATTTTTGTTAAATAAGCATCATGCATTTATGCATAAAAATAGACACCCAAATGTTCTCACTGGTAATTGCAATAAGACAGGATTGGACATATTTCTTCATGCTTGCCCATATTTTCTAAACTCCCCAAATACACATATATTAGTGAAAAAAATAAATTGTTTTAAGAAGTATACAACAAGAAAATGGCCAAATCTATGCTAACATACATGGATGAAAAACATGGTCCAGAGTCTATTCTGAGACTTCAACCAGGAATAGTCAAGAGTTTGTAAACATGCTGTGGAAAGCTCTGACTGCTAAGTGAAAATCAAATATAAAATGTCCTGGTAGATGGAAGCAGGGCCCATGTCATGAAAACCAGCTCCATGTAATTCCAAGATGTTCAAGTAGCATCTTTTTCAACTACCCTTAACAAGCACTAGTTGTCACCCCATAGCCTGACAGCTTTTCGCTAATGTTTATTGAGCTCCATACTATGTCCAAGGCACTGTATTCAGGTGGAGGATCCCAAATGAGTAAGATGCATTTGATTTCTCAAATGCTTTGCAGTCTGGTGCAGCAAAATTGCATTAATACTGCAAAAAAACTCCATATACACTTCATCCAGATTCACAAATTGCTAAAATTTGGCCACATTTGCTTTATCATGGTCTTTCCCTTCCCATATATGTACATAATTTTTTTACCATATGAGAATAAGTTGTAGGTGTCATATTTCAGTGAATATTTTTCAAGAACAAGGACATGTAGGCCCAGGTGTAGTGGCTCATGCCTTAATCCCAACAATTTGGGAGACCGAGGTTGGAAAATTGCTTGAGCCCAGGAGTTTGAGAACAGCCTGGACAACATAGCCATACCTCATCTCCACAAATTAAAAATATATATATTCGCCTGGCATGGTGGCATGCAGCTAGTTGGTCCCAGTTACTCAAGAGGCAGAGAGGAGGATCACCTGAAACCAGCAGTTTGAGGCTACAGTGAGCCTTGATCGTGCCACTGCACTCCAGCATGGATGACAGAGTGACACCCTGTCTGAAAAACAAAAGAAAACAAAAACAAAAACAAAAAGGACATGAAGGTATATAACCACAGTATAATTATCAATGTCAACGAATTTACATTGCTACAATATTATTATCAAATTGAAGACCTTATTAAAAATTTACTGGTTGTCTCAATAATGTCCTTGTTTTTTAATAGATATTTCTGGTTCAGAATGCAAGCTAGGTTGACACACTGCATTTAGTTTTCATGTCCCTTTTGTCTCCTTTAATCTTCCTTGACATTTTGAAGACTATACGGCATTTATTTTAAAGAATGTTCCTCAATTTGGGTTTGTCTGATCTTTCTCATGATTAGATTCAGGTCATAAGTTCTTGGCAGGAACACTACCTAAGTGATGTATGTCTTCCTCAGCGCATCACATAAGAAGGTACATGACAGTCTAAGAGTCAAATCAAGAACACAGTCTCATTTACAATAGCCACAAAGAAAATGAAATACCTAGAAACACAGCTAAGCAAGCAGGTGAAAGATCTCTGCAAGGAGAGCTACATAACTGCTGAAAGCAATCAAAGACAAGACAAACAAATGGAAAAGCATCCCATGCAAAAAATCTGTATAATTAAATGACCATACTGTTCAGAGCAATTTATAGATTCAGTGTTATTCCTATCAAACTACCAACATCATTCTTCACAAATTAGTAAAAACTATTCTAAAATCCATATGGAACCAAAAAACAGTCCGAATAGCCAAAGCAATCCTAAGCAAAAGGAACAAAGCAAGAGACATCAAATTACTTGACTTTGACTATACTATAAGGCTACAGTAACCAAATAGTAAAGATGTGGGATCAACACAGGTGCCCATCAGTGGTGGATTGGGTAAAGAAAATGTGGTACATATGCACGATGGAATACTACACAAGAACATAAAAAGGAGCAAGATCATGTGCTCTGTAGCAACATGGATGGAGCTAGAGGCCATAAATCCTAAGTGAATTAATGCAGGAACAAAAAACCAAATACCACATTTTTTCACTTGTAAGTGTAAGCTAAACATTGAGCACACATGGACATAAATATGGGAACAATAGACACTGCAGGCTACTAGGAGAGGAGGGAGGGCAGTGGGCATGGCTTGAAAAACTACCTATTGGGTACTATGCTCACTATCTGGGAGCAATATACCCATTTAACAAACCTGCACATGTACCCCCTATATCTAAAATAAAAATTGAAGTCAAAAAATAAAAAATAAAGAAGGCACGTGATATCAGTCTGTCTCACGGAGTTCCTCCACAGCTGTCCAAAGCTCAATAAACCTTTACAACTACAATTTTGGCAATATATTTTTGGCAGAAATGTTTAATATTCCTCTTTTTTCCTTTTAAGTGTATTTTGCTTAAACATGAATATAAAAGAAATAAAAATTTATGTTCACATAGAAACCTATACATGAATGTTCATGGCAGCTTTATTTGTAATAGCCAAAAAGTGTTTACAGTCCAGATGTCCTTCAGCTGATGAGTAGTGAAACAAACTGAGGCACATACATACAATGGAATACTACTCAGAATAAAAAAGTATAGACTAACGATACACACGACATCTTGGATGAATCTCCAGTGAATTATGCCAAGTTAAAAAAAAAGCCAATCCCAATGGATTATATGATTCCACTTATATAACATTTTTGAAATGATAAAATTATAGAGATCAAGAATAGATTAGTGGTTGCTATGAGTTAAGTGGAGGGGAACCTGAGAGGTTGGTGAGTGGCTATAAAAAACAACAAGAGGGATTTGAGTGGTGATGGAATTGCTCAGTATCTTAATATATTAGTCCATTCTCACACTGCTATAAAGAACTACCTGAGACTGGGTAATTTATGAAGAGAAGAGGTTTAATTGACTCACAGTTCTGCAGGCTATACAGGAAAGCATGGCTGGGAGGCCTCAGGAAACATACAATCATGGCGGAAGGCAAAGGGGAAGCAAGTGCATCTTACCATGGCAGAGCAGGAGAGAGAGAGCAAAGGGGGACATGCCATACACTTTCAAACAACCTGATCTCATGAGAACTCACTATCATAAGAACAGCAAGGGGAAAATCCTCCCCCATGATCCAGTCACCTCCCACCAGGCCCCTCCTTCAACATGTGGGGATTACAATTTGACATAAGATTTGGGTGGGGCAGAGCCAAACCATATTACTTGACTACGGTGGCAAATACAGCAACCTACGCATGTTATAGAACTGTATATTACTAAATACACACAGATGCAGAGTACAAGTAAAACTAGAGCAATCTGAATAAGATTGTACCACTATCAGTAACCTGGTTGGGATATTATACTATAGTTGTGCAAAATGTTAACATTGGGGGAAGCTGAGTAAAGAGCGTACATGATCTCTCTTTATTATTTCTTTATAATTATATGTGAATCTATAATTATCTCCAAAAAACTTCAATTTAAACAAATGCATCATAGCTAGTCACAATAGAGTCCATTCATGAAAGCTGATCACCCTAACAGAATTATATAAACCAGTCGTATGGTGAAATTTACGGTAGCTCTTACATAGTTTACCCCACTTGTATTTGCAATATATTTATATTTAGGCTGCTCACTTCTGTGACACCTTTTTTCAAATTTCCTCAATAATTTTTTTGTGTTTCTTCTCCCTATTTAACCAGCATAATTAGCTTTTTTGTTGGTTATTGTTAATGGCACTTTCATATCTTTGTTATTATTGTTTTATCATAAAAGAATAAAATTGTAATAAAATGGCTTTCCAAACAAAGAGGAAAGTAAATACACCTTGTTTGAAAGAAATGTGAACATTTTTTCCCACAATATTCAATTATTCATTTTAACAGTGCCAAGCACTATTTTAGGTGCTTAAGAAAGAGACAGTAGTAAATTAAGCAAAATTCCTGCTTTTTTGGAGGTGACAGTCAACCAGATTAGAAAAACAGACAAATAATTATATATTACTTTATCCTAAATATCATGAAGAAAAATATATCCCAGCAATTATTCACAGAGAATGGTGAGAACACTAATGTAGATAGGGTGGTGATCTGCAGTTGTCTAAAGAGATAAGATTTGAAGAGACTTAGATGGCATGGTATGTAATTCATAGTTATCAAGACAAAACACATGTTGGCTCTCCCAAGACAGATGCTTATTAATTCTTGATTTCCACATTAATTGATGGAGAAATGAATCCTCAACAAAACTTCTTTATCTTTCAAGTGAAAGTCTGAGGTATTTCGTTAGAAGATGAAAGAGTCAAGTACTTAATGCCCAATCTTTCATTCCCTTATCCTTTGATGTTTAAAAGCTTGCCTAGCTCTAAAAGAAAAAAAAAACACATCATTTTAATGAACACTGCAATTAAGAGATACATGCCCTGGAAACTCATCTCCTTTGAGCTGCTCTGATGTCGGCCTTTTCCTGATTTGAGGTCAATAAAGTTATGGTGTTTGCGTCTCCCAGGGAAAATCCCTCTATGTAAGATCATTTGACTCACTCTGGCTTCCCCCAATCCTCCTAAGAAGCTCAATCTGCAGATCAGAGCTGGCTACTCCTTTTCAATTAACATTCTTTCAGATTTGATCATCGTCCTTGTCTTCATTTATGTCAAATGGTGCTCCCGTGGAGACAGGCAGCTGATTATTCTAGTCTAACTCAGATAAACCTTATTAAAATAACCACCTCCCTTATGCAAATCTATCCATCACTTTCACCTTGACAGGCCCTTGTCAGTCTGGTGCCCTGCACCATCTCTGGGTCCCAAATGGTAAATGCCCCCACCCCAACGCTGCACCATCAGCATGGGGACACTGTTAGCAAGATGCAAATTGCATATGGAGATTTTGAGTCATTTGCTTCTTTAGAAGTTGAATTCCACTCAGGAAATATTAACTAAAGAAGCAGTGTAGTTTATGGGGTAGTTCCAGGTATCTAGGCCAATAAAATGCCAGGTCAATGTTTTGCAAGGCGATTCCATGACAAGTGGCATAGAGAGGAATAAGAGGTTTTCAGACCAGACAAACCCCAGATTCAGCATAAACACCTGTATAGGAAGACAGGAACTAATGCTTTCTGCTTAATATGAAAAATTGCCTGGAATTAAAAAAAAAAAAAGAAGAGCCAGTCATGGGAGAGGGAGGTCACTGCTGCCCCAAAAACCTTCCCGATCACCTCCATCCTGGTCATGAGCCACAGCCTCTTGACTGTAGAAGTGATCTGCTTTGTCCTCTAAATTTAAACTCACAATGGGATCATAAAGGGAACAGTGCCAAACAAACAGCCCCTTGGTTTTTGTGAGGATTATTCCTGAGAGCTCTATTGGTCTCCAGTAACATGGGCCTGATGTAGGCGCAGTAAGGTGATGGCCCTCTCAGAGGCAGGAGCTAGTGAGTCTTACAAGATGACTGTTTCCTATTTTCCCTTTGTTACTCATGGAGATGACTGAGGACTATTTACTTCTCATATATGTCGATGTAGTCAGTGTAATAGTCCTAAGATGGATTGGCAGACTCCCATGGAACTGGGTCATACCCCTTTGAAAAAGTCTGATTAAACTTCTTTGAAAAGTCATTGGAGGGCTCATGACCATGGGATGGCATAGTGCCTCCTCCCCCAGTGAACAGACAATTAAAATCAGGGACAATGAGTCAAGAATGGAACAGTAGTAAATTTCAAAGAAGGAAAAAGTTCTGTGCTACTAGATGAATCTCTGAGTATTCAAGAGCTTATAAACTAAGACCTCAAGAGATAGTATTCTCCTGGGAAACCTGGCATGATGCAGCTTATTGATAGAGCTGTGAGTATTGCTACCAGAGCTGTAATGACCAGCCAGCACGTAGGGGGAATATGACTTAGAAGGAGTTGTAGATTCCCTGATACAAGAAATGAGATATCTACAAGGCCAGATGTGATAAGTTGGTCATGCCAAATGACATGATCTTGCCCCTCTGGGAAATGTAGTATAGAGAATCCTATTTTTGAAACTTGAAAAGATGACAGAGTTTGATTACCAAGTCAGTAGAATTTCTAACATTTGCTCCTTTCTTGAATATGTTCCCTTCTGATCAAATGTGGCTAAAAAATTTGCAGATGAAGTTGTGTCTGTCCCAAGCTTCTCTTGATTTTATATAATCCATCCTCCACAACCTAGCTTAGTAACTATTATGTAACTTATTTTTATCATTAAAAATAATTATTTTGAATTATTTTTAATTATTTTAATGGGTAATTATTGCTTAACTTATTTTTATTATTCTTGTTCTGACAATAATTCAGTGGTTTCCTATTGCAATATATAGCAAATCCAAAAATCTTTAACATGACTTATGTTAAACAATTTCTTTCTGGCTTCTTCTCTCCCCATTGTCAATGGTATAGCCATCCTGTGCATAAATGGCACTTTTTTTTTTTAACTTTAATGAGCCAGGCTTTCTCACCCCTCTGCCTGGTTTCCCAGCTCCTTCATTAAACTAACTCCTCTCCATTCTTCAGGTTGCAGCTTGAATCTACTTTCTCTAGAAAGCTTTCCTTAACCCTCACATTGCATTATGAACCTCTCCTATGTGCTCCCACAGAATCGCATGTCCATTCTATCATGCTACTATCACACTATTATTATTGCTTATTTGTTTATAATCCCCCACAGTGCATAAACATTTTGCAGGAAGATACTGCATCTTGTTTATCTTTACATTTCCAGCACAAAATAGGATCTCCTGAATGAATGGATGGATGGATGAAAACATTATTGTTACTAAGAGGCAGAAGACCTGCATTCAAGTCAACACCTCGCTATTTATCCTTAATCCGAAGCAAACCATAGACTCTCTGTGGAAGAGAATGTAGAAGTAGAAATGTGATCTTCTGTCTCCTTAAAACCAGGTGGCTAGACTAGGCAATTCCTTCATGGTCCTTATCAGCAGTATGATCAATGTCTCCATATGCAAAATATTGCAAGATATGTTGAGTTGCTCTAAAACACGTGCAAGACAAGCACCCTGGGCTCTCTGAAGAGGAGGAAAGATGAACAGTCTCTCCAAATGCAGATTCAAAAAAATCTCTATTCTAATTGTTATGTGAAGGAGAGAATTAACTCAAAGAATCAGTATAGAAACATGAGTACGTGACCTGATTATGCCCAGTTCTGCTAAGATCCAAGTGTTATTAAAAACTAGCCTTAATTAGGCAAGACTATGCTCTTTGTTTATTGGAATTTATTTATTAATTTTTATCATAGCTTCCAGTTTTCATTCTGGCTGTTTATTGGAGCCCTTCTTTAAGTGAGAAATGCTCACGTGTGTGTAATTTGAGCATTTCCCAGTGCTAACCTCCATTTCACCTCTGTCACGCTTAGGCAAGGACAGGATCCTCCCTGTTCTAGCAGAGCCTTGGCCCTGTTTTAGCTGGCATGCAAATGCAGAGTGTGATCCATCATGTTTTATTCAATAGAGTCACTGAGAGAAAGGGAAAGGAAATTGTTGTGAATTAAATGTCCTTGTCTCTTCAGACAAGAAGATAAAAGTTCTGATTGATTGCCGAGATGGCTAGAAATGGAAGTATTAATGCAAAACAATGATTTTGTTATGTTTCTATTCTCTAAAGTGTTGCAAGTGGCAAGAAAAAAATTTTTGTCCCAGAAACAGACTAAGAGAGCTTTCTTCCTTGCCAGAACAAGGAAATTTGGTGAAATCAGGAAGCAGGTGATGGTGAGCCCAGGAGTGGGGTCTGGAGATCTGTATTCCAGTCCTAGCCCTGCAATGTTCCCTTAGTGGCCTTGGACAAGTCATTTCCTATCCTGACTTCGAATTCCTTAAAATAGGAGGATTTCGCTAGAGATGAGATCTGAAGTCTCTGTCAGTGCTTGCAGTGCTATGAAATTCTTCTTCTTAATTAACTCAAGCAACAGGTCTTAAGTAGAAGCCATTGTCTGGGGATGCTACTGACGTGCTCTGCCTACTAGAATCTTCAGTAATATTACCAGGAAGATTCTAGCAAGTTCTGCCATTTATCTCCAATATATGAAGAAATTATTCTACTAGGAATTTCATAGTAACAAAGAATGTATAAGGTGTTAAGTGGTTCCATAAAATGGATTAAATTTGACAATTTACCAAAGTTAACTTAAGTACAATTATGTAAACCATGAACTGTATGTAATACACAATGTGATTTTGGTGTTAGCTTCTATTGACTCCTTTCTTTAAAAATGGGAAAATATTTAGGGTTGAGGATTTTTCATTGATTTTGTAAATAATTCTGTTCTGGTCCAGATCATCCTATTTTCCCCCTTCCTCAATATACAATTTTCCCTGATTCAGTGAATCCCTGAATTCATATAGTTCCATTTCCCAAGCTTGCAGACAGAAATACTGGCTCTTTGATGTGTCAAAAGTTTTTTAAGTGCTCACAGAGAATGCTCAGTACTTGGCTACAGTCGCCCAAGGTTCAAAGTTTAAGTTGAGCGCCTTTATCTACTATATTTCTTTGTTTTCCACTTGGACATTGCTGAAAACTAAAGGAAGTTTGATTTTCTCCAGTTTGAGTGTGTATTGCAGAGAATCTAAAACAGTTCTGAGGGGGTGTGTGTGTGTGTGTGTGTGTGTGTGTGTGAGAAAGAGAGAGAGAGAGGCAAACACAGAGAAAAATACTCTTCTTTGAAAGCTAAGAGAAAAATACCAGATTCTATAGCTCAAAACATTCTATATGATCTCAGGTCATGCTCAAAATTAACCACTGGGTCAGAACTCAAATTCTGTATGAGGCCAGATTTTAAAATAAAATTTAGGTATTTGTCTTAAAACAAAAACCAGGCCACTTTCAAAACTTACTCCAACAAAGACATGATTTCTTAAAGCAGTCTTGAAACGTTCTTTTATTTTATGTATGTTTCAGCTTTTTGGTTAAGTATCTGATTCTTAAAACACAAGTACAATTTGTAGCCTGCAAAGTTTGAAAAGTAATTCTGTTTGAATCAAAAGAGATGTTGATTTGATGACTGCTTTTGTTCAAAACAATCATGTCATAATTTATATGCTGTAATATCCATATCTTAATACTAGATCTCCTGGATAAACTGGTTTTCTCTACTACTTTGATAATTTTATTTTATTCAAAACTTGTTTCTGGATGCAGGAAGTATAGAAAGCTGATATTCTGGTATTATGGGTAAAACTGATGAAGTCAAAATTTTCCCCTTGGTGAAATGACTCTCAGATAATAAACAATGATCTTTCCCTCAGACCACTAGTGCATAGCCACACACATTGTGAGTAATTCCCTAACACAGTAAATTAACAAATGTAACTCAAATGAACTTAACTTGTTAAGAGTGTAGAGTTAATGAGCCTGAAACATCTGAGATTAGTTTAGGAGAGTGAGCTTGGGCAGGATTCAAAGCAACACACTGCATTCCAAATACTAGGAAATCTAGGCCATTGTCACAAGAAAGAGTGGAGCAGGAAAGTCAGCGAGTATGTCAGTATCCACCCATCATCCTTCAAAAAAAGGCAACTAAAAATGGGTAGGTAGAGTTTAAAAGTTATCATAGCTAGATACCTTATGGAAATGAGTGAAGCATTTCTAAGTGTATTGAGCTTGGAAGATACATATAGACATACTTGTAAATTTTGTATTTGTATTTATATTATAGTCTTTATATTAGACTATATATTGAGTCTTTGGTACTCTTATTTTTCATAATTCAGTTTGGAAGTGCATTAAATTTACCTTTGTCCTATCTATTTTTAAAATGCTTACAAAGGAAAATAAAGATAAAAATATAATTATAAGGAAAATTTTATCCTTCTTATATCTTTAAGAATGAACTTTTACATCTTTGTTACCCAGGCTGGTCTCGAAAACTTGGGCCCAAAAAATCCTCCTGCCTCTGCCTCCCAAAGTGCTGGGATTAGAGACGTGAGCCACCACATTTGGCCTGAAAGATTTCAAAGCAAACAATAAAGACCAAAAAAAAAAAAAAAAAAAACAAAAACAAAAATCCTAGTAGAAAACAAAGGAAAATATTTTTTGCAATTTTGAGATGAAAACATTTGTGCAAACAACACAACAAAGCTAGGAATCATCACAGAAATAACTACCAGATTCAAATTTATAAAGCATAAAATATTCTACATAGAAAAAAGTTTCCGTAAGCAAACTGAAGAAGACTAATGAAGTTATTTTAAAAAATATTTGAAATATGTATGACAAGGTAGCAATGTACTTAAGATATTTTTTAAAAACCTATAGAAATTAATGAAGAAAAGAGGACTCCCCAACTGGGAAATGAATAGGTAGAGGTCATGAACAGGCTACTCATAAAACAAGTAACTTAGGATGAGAATCTGGTAAAGGTCTGGAGGATGAGAAATTGGATACAAGAATAAGAAAATGATATGGAAAATGTGGAGAATGGACTTAATATGGAGGAAAGGAAAGGAATTGGGAGAAAAGTCTGGCATAATTAAACTGGAGGCAACCTAGACAGCCTTTAGGGTCTTGGCATGAAATAGACCTGGGTCTGAGTCTTTTCTCTGATGATGACAGTCACATAGCCTTGGCAAGTTGCTGGCTCACATGATTCTTAGTTTCATCATTTGTAATTTTTTTTTTTTTTTTTTTTTTTTTTTTGAGAGGGAGTCTCGCTCTGTCGCCCAGGCTGGAGTGCAGTGGTGAGATCGCGGCTCACTGCAAGCTCCGCCTCCCAGGTGCACACCATTCTCCTGCCTCAGCCTCCCGAGTAGCTGGGACTACAGGCGCCGCCACCACACCTGGCTAATTTTTTGGATTTTTTTTTTTTTTTTTTTTTTTAGTAGAGACGGGGTTTCACCGTGTTAGCCAGGATGGTCTCCATCTCCTGACCTCGTGATCCACCCGCCTCGGCCTCCCAAAGTGCTGGGATTACAGGCGTGAGCCACTGCACCCGGCCTCATCATTGTAATTTAAAGTACAGTTGTGAGGACTGAGCAAAACAATTTATTTGACTCAGTCAACTCTGTCTCACCTATGCATAGCCTGGTGGTTTAGTAAGACTGATTTATGCAACTCTGCCTCCTGCTATGCAGGGACCATCCAGTCCTGGAAGAGCAGACCAGGCCTCTCTGTTCATCTTCATGCCCCGTCGATAAACAATCCTTCCAAGGTAAAAAGCAAAGTGGACATGAGGTTTTCAGATCTGTCTAAGCTGTCTGCTCCAGAAGACAGCTTTGTTGACTAGTTCGTGAAGCAAATGTAGTCAGTTCAACAACCACTTTTTTCCAGGAAAAAAAGCAGGATGGATTTTTTTAGGGCATACAGGATAGATTATAAGCGCATTTGGTCTCTGTTATTTTATGTAGTTTTCTTTTGCAGGGTGGGGGGTTAGCATTTGATTCTTTTTTTTTTTTAATTTGGTCACCTTTTATGTAATTTATCTGCTTTTACTAAGGAGAATAGTCCCTTCTGCTGCAATTGTATTCAGAAATCCCCTTCATTATTCCAGAGATGGAAAGAAGATCATGACAGTAAGAAAGTAAATAAATGCTAAATACATTCATAAAGAAAAATGAAATGTTTCCTAGGAACGAGAGGGGAAAATATAGAAAGAGAAAAAGAAAGGGATGGAGAGGAGGAGAGGATAGCAACCAGTGGTTGCACACAAAAGTTTTTCCGTCAAAGACTGCCACCTGGTGGAATTGTAACTGTGCCTGTTCCTTTGGCCTCAGCTAGTTCTGGAAGGAGTCCAGAGTAATCAGACGCAACTGACCTGCGAGCCTTCAAAGCTAAATAAAAAGCGGATGAATAAATGTCGGTGCATCAGTAGATTCTAAATCTTGACAACACAGAAGGCTTATTTAATTTGATCCCTGTGCATCAGAGGCTTTAAACTGTCATTAGTCAGGCATGCTGCCACTCTCTTTTTGAAGGCTAGTGCTGTTTATTGGGCATAAACCAGCTATATTTCATGTGAGCAAGTGAAAGGAAACAAAATCTCTTGTGCTAAAATAAAGAATAAATATAAATGCTATTGTCTTATCCTGCATAAGCCTTCATGGACTTCTTTTCAAGGCATTTAAATAGTTTTCTTAAGAAAAAGTATATATTTGAAATTTTGACCAAATGAAATAACCACTGACACTTTTTTAAATGTCCCAAAGTGGTTTAAATTAGACAAGATTTTTAAGAGATTAATTCTACCCAGTAAGAAGATAATAATATTGATGGACAGGAATATATGTTCACATTTAATGTTTTCTCTCTATTCTACCAAACATGACAATGAAATTATACATATAAGGAATTTAGCCTTAACTCCATGCCTGCACACTACATTTCTGACTTCAACAAGGATTACTACACTGTATGTCAAAAACATATTTAAATGTCAAAGGCAACTTTGTATTTCTAAGCCTTTGTATTGCCTTCTTATCTGGTAGAGAAAAAGGCAAATAAGATTGGCTTATTTTTTACTTCTGCCCAGAAAAAAAAAAAAATCTTAGAGCTTCCATATTCTCTTTAATTACATTTTCTACCTCTAGGCTCCAAATTTCAATTTTCATTTACAGATTTCTAAGGTTTGCCTAATTTTTAAAGAACAGCTCTCTTTATTCCCATCCTGTGAGTTGAATACTCTGGACTTAGCTGTTTTCATGCCCAGATTTAATGACTGTTCAGCTTTGTGCAAAAAAAAGAACAGG
The DNA here is from genome assembly GCF_000001405.40 of Homo sapiens. Classification (NCBI taxonomy): domain Eukaryota; kingdom Metazoa; phylum Chordata; class Mammalia; order Primates; family Hominidae; genus Homo; species Homo sapiens. The sequence goes on from NC_000009.12 coordinate 32,252,645, forward strand.
TAAACAGATCCAAGGGGATGCTTTCTCTACTAAACTTATGTCAGTGAAAAGTTAATTGATTAAATTAAAACATTTGACATACTCAAATAAAAAACAGAAGTTAACAGTAAGATTTTCATTTGGGTACCCAACTTAAAAGCTTGACAAGAAACAAGAAATAGGTCCAGTGTGCATACAATACTTATCATTCATTTAGATGAGTCACTTAATATGTTACCAAAAAAAGCAAATTTATTGAGCATACAGACAATAAAGAAATAGTCTGCAAAGCAGAAGAACCAAGGAAGTAAAATTTCATGGTATCCAAGGTACAGAGTTTAAAAAAAAGAAGTACATGCAACTCATAAGTTAAGTAAAATAGACCTGAAAAATGTCCATTAGATATGACAATGAAAGAGCTATTGGATCGAGGGAAAGCAATCTCAATAGAATGATGAAGGCATCCTCTGCCAGGATGCAGTGGATTGAGGAGAAAGCTGGAGGCCGGGCGCGGTGGCTCACGCCTGTAATCCCAGCACTTTGGGAGGCCAAGGTGGGCGGATCACAAGGTCAGGAGATCAAGACCATCCTGGCTAACACAGTGAAACCCCATCTCTACTAAAAATACCAAAAAAAATTAGCCGGGCATGGTGGCGGGCGCCTGTAATCCCAGCTACTCGGGAGGCTGAGGCAGGAGAATGCCGTGAACCCAGGAGGTGGAGCTTGCAGTGAGCCGAGATGGCGCCACTGCACTCCGGCCTGGGCGACAGGGCGAGACTCCGTCTCAAAAAAAAAGAAAGAAAGAAAGCTGGAATAGTAGAAGTGGGAATAGCATTATTACTCTTTGAAAAAAATGTGGATAAAAGAGGAAGACAACAAAAAGGGGATTCAGGGTCCCACACAGGACTTTTTTAAGGACAAAGACCCATGAACATATTGATTTACTGCAAGAAATAATAAAGACAGTGGAAAGACAGCAATAAGGATATGAGTAAGAGAGAATGACTAAAAAGGAAGATCATGCTGGATTTAAGGAGAAGGGGTATCATTCCTCCTTTGTCTGGAACTGGAGCAAAAGTTGGAGGAGATAGTTGCGTATAGGCATACGTATTAAGGTACAGGGAACCAGCACACATCCAGTGACCTAAATGAGGTAAAAGGTAAAGTAGCTGTTGGAACTAAGGAGTGTGCAGGTTGACCACACAGACCAAGGGAAGTGGCAGAGATTGGGAACAGGAAAAGATGCTGACCAAGGAGAGTCCCCTGCGTGTGAGAAGAAGAGAAGCCAATTATCACATGAATCACAAGCTGGGTTTTTTCTGGGTGTCAGAGAAGGAACATGAGTAACTTATTTTCTGTGCCAAAATGATTTCCAGTAATTGTTCACAGAATGAGATGATGGACACTGATACTCTATGGTTGATCTTTCACTTTAAGTACAAGTATACACACCACCTACTCCCCAGCATATTAACATCAACTGTCATCATCATGAATTTGCACCTGCTGCTAAGCCTCATCTCATCTCCACCACTATCAGCCTTCTGTTCTCAAAAATAGTTAGAGGTACATTTGGCAATTTCTTTCTCTTTCTTCCCAACAAAGTTTTGTAGTTTCTTCTGTTCCTAATTTGCCACTTGCAACTCCCCTGGCGTCTCTACAGTTTCTGAAATAATACAGTATCTTCACAATATTAGTATATTCCTTACACTAAAAATATTCCATCCATATTTGCATGTTTGATTATCATACAATAGGCAGATAGTTAAAGGTTGGAGATCCAATTCTAGCCAAGATATTTTTAAGCAGCAAAGGTTTTTTAGATACAGCCCCCAAATTACAAATTATAAATGATAAAAATTGATAAATGTGACTACATCAAAATTCAAAACTCTTGTACTACAAAAGACAATGTCAGAAAAAAAGACAAGCCTCAGGTGTGGAGAAAAAATTGAAATATGTGTGGCAAAAGATAATTTTTTCAAGAAATGGTACAAGAACAATTGGATATCCCTATGCAAAAAAAATGCTCTTAGAACTGTACTTCATATATTAAAAAATTAACTCAAAATGAATTATACTTGATCTTAGCCAAAAGGCCAAAAAGCAATTCAAAATGGATCATATATCTCAATGCAAAGCCCAAAAATTATAAAACTTTTAAAAAGTAAATAAGAAAAAAAAATCCTGGAGACCTTGGGTTAATCAAAGATTTCTTAGATACAACACCAAAAGCATAATCAATGAAAGAACAAAATGATAAATTTGTCTTCAAATTTAAAACTTCTACTATTAAAAGACACTCCTAAGAGAATGAAAAGGCAAGTCATTAACTGGAAGGAAATTTTTGTAAAACATATACCTGATAAAGACTTGCATCTAGCATATGTGAAGAACTGTCAAAACCAAACAATAAGCAAACAAACAGACCAGTTTTTAAAATGGGCAAAAGAATGAACACAAAATTTACCAGAGAAAACATATAGATGGCAAATAAGCATACGGAAGCGTGTCCAACGTCATTACTCATTGAAGAAATGCAAGTTAAAATCAGATATGACCACATACCTATTAGGATGGCTAAAACTAAAAACACTGACCGTATCAAGCATTGCAGAGAATGTGGAGGAACTGGAACTCTCAATCCTGTTGGTAGGAATGCAAAATGGTATGGCTACATTGGGAAATAGTTATATTGTTTCTTAAAAAACTAAATATATACCTACTATATGATCTAGCCATTCTGTTCTTTGGTATTTACCCAAAAGAAATGAAAGAATATATCCACACACACACACACACACACACACAAAAAAAAAAAAAAAACTTGTATAAGAATGTTCATAGAAGCTTTATTTATGATAAGCAAAACTGTGAAGCAACTCTAATGTCCATCAGCAGGTGAATAAATAAATTGTGGCATATCCCTTTAATGGAATATTACTTACCAATGAAAAGGAATAAATTATTGTTACATGCAACAATATTGATGGATCTCAAAATATGCTGAGTGAAAGAAGTGAGCCAATATAGGGTACATACTGCATGATTCCACTTCCATAAAATTCTGGAAAATGTAATCTAATTTACAGTGGCAGAAAGGAAATCCATAGTTTCAGCAAGTTAGCAGGTTATGGAGAAACAGAAGAGATAGACTACAAAGGAGCATGAAGAAAATTTTGGGCTTGATGGGTATGTTCATTTTCTTAATTGCAGTAATGACTTCACAAGTATATACATACGTCAAAACTTATCAAATTGCCTACTTTAAATATGTGTTTATTATATGTTGATATCTCAAAGTTGTTTAGAAATGTCACTGCTACCTGTGCTTTCTTCATAGAAAAGCATAAACAATATAATGAACATCTGTGTGTTAACAACCCAGCTTAAAAATAAATTATTAAAAATATATTTAAAGCTCCCCAAATATACCTTTTGCACTAGGTAGAGGATCTCACTTCATCTTTAGTGAGGAGGACCTGCAGAGATCACAGAATCTCACATTTCCCTTTTGCAAATGTGTACAACAAATAATACCTAGTTCTCATTGCAGAGTAAGAGTCCAGTCATTTCCCACAAATTCTTTTGCCATCTTCACATGATGTCAAGCTCAAGAACTTTCTCTAGGTGGTGGCAAATAGAGAGCCCCTTTATCTAACCACACAGACCTCATCTCAATTCAAAAGAAACATGTTTGGATTCGCTCCAGCACTGCATAGCTAGGGTATTGCTCTGCTCCATGAGCGGCAGATGGGGCAGGATGACTCTGGGCAAACTCAGGTGCATGAATGGCTCTTTTTACTTCCTAGCTGACTGACAAAGGTGGAACAGACCCTCCACTTGTGCTTTATCACTCTCGGCTGTCCATCTTTTCGTGCATTATATATTCTCTGTCGGAAATGACAATGTTTCTGCTGGAAAAGAAAAAAGGAGTTCAGCCTGTCAGCAGTGTAGTGGGAAGTAAAAGCATTTCACAAGTTCCGATCTTATCTTAGCAACTGCTTTTCTAAATATTTTGCAATAGTACAGTAAGAAAGCTCTTTTTCAACAATAATAGAAGAAAGGCCTTTTTCTAAAATGTTATAACCCAAAAACATCAAAGAGTTAATGTCAGGCTGAAATGGGAAGAATATACTCTGCCTTAAAATTAATCTTTAGGAGTAAAATAAGTAGATTCCTTTTTTTTTTTTTTTTTTTTTTTTTTTTGAGACAGAGTCTCGCTCTGTCCCCCAGGCTGGATTGCAGTGGGGCGATCTTGACTCACTGCAAGCTCCACCTCCCAGGTTCACGCCCTTCTCCTGCCTCAGCCTCTCAAGTAGCTGGGACTACAGGCGCCGGCCACCACGCCTGGCTAATTTTTTGTATTTTTAGTAGAGACGGGATTTCACCGTGTTAGACAGGATGGTCTCAATCTCCTGACCTTGTGATCCGCCCACCTTGGCCTCCCAAAGTGCTGGGATTACAGGCATGAGCCATCATGCCCGGCCATAACCAAGTAGATTTCTAAGCAATTATGCCTATTACAGAAAATTTCAGCATGTGGAACTCTCTGGGGCCTCAGAGACCACCATGATCAAGACCCTCACTTTACAATGAAGGAACTGAGGCATGATTGCTTTATTGTCTTCTATTTCGAAAGCATTCTAAATCTCTAGACGGTCACCAGCATATGCCTTTTCAAAACTTTCCAACTATAGAACAGTAAGGTTTCAAGAAAGAAATGGTGGGTGGCTCTCCTTCAATGGAACTAAAGTAAACAATCTATAAAAGCTAAGTAAGTTTTATTCCACTAAGGAACAAACGAACGACTGCTTCTGATCTAAGTTTTTCCAGTTTTCCTGAAATTGATGCAAGAAAAAGAGATCAGTTGCCTACTCTTCTGCCATTTCACAACTTGCACAACACACATGGCCCCATAATCAAGCAACAGATTAATCACGGCTCATGGCATAGCCCTGAATCTCCTCACTTCCATAGGCCAGAAAAGCTGACAGGCATGTTGGTTATGAGGGTCTAATGGGATCAACTGTTAGCAAGATAAACAACCTCTTTATCAACACTGCCATAAAAGTAATCTTCCAACGGTAAATGTGTGATCATGCCTCTCCTTAAAATTCCTTCATAGTTCCCCAGGCCCTCGGTGTAAAGTTTAATTTTCTCTGTTTCTCTTTACAAAGCCCTTCATAACCTGTATCCTTTTTTAATAGCCTTATTGAGGTATAACTAATATACAAAAAAGGTGCATATTTAATATGTATAATTCAATGAATTTGGATGTAAGCATATATCCATGACACCATCACCACAATCATAACAAACATCCATCACTTCCAGAGGTTTCCTTGTGTCCCCATGGGTTTTTTGTTTGTTTTTTGGTTTTGTTGTGTTTGTTCTGTTTTGTGGTAAGAACACTTAACACGAGATTTACCCTCTTAACAAACTTTTAAGTACACATACCATATTATTAACTGTAGGCACTATGTTGTACAGCAGATCTCTAGAACTTACTATGCTTGTGTAACTGTAACTTTATATTCATTGAACCTATCTCTTACTTATCTAAGATCCTTTTCTGTCTTCACTACTATGAGCACCACCATCACCACTCTTCATTCTACCCCTGCACCCTGCATCCCAGACAAATATTTGAAATTCTCCAATCAGGCCTTGTTCACACTTTCAAGGCTAGCTCATCTGGCATTCTCTTCCTTGAATGTGCCTCTCCTCTTCCACCATCCTAAGTCTACCTTGGTAAATGCTCATCTGCAGTCAGCTTCCAGTAGGGTGCACAGCGATCCCCATCTCCTTGTATTCATACCCTTGTGTAATCCCTTCCCTTGTGTGTAAGCTAAGCTTAGTGACCTGCTTCTAATGAACGAACTATGGCAAAAGTGATGAGGTGCCACTTTAGAGATTAGATCACAAAAGACCATGCCTCTGGTCTTGCTCACACTCACTCTCTGCCTCTTCTTCCTTGCTCACTGGGGTGAAGCAAGCTGCCATGTTGTGAGCTGCTCTAAGCAGAAGCCCAAGTGGCCAGAAACTGAGAGAAGCCCCAACTGCCAGCAAGTAACTGAGGCCTTCAGTCCAAAAGCATATGAGGAACCGAATCTTACCAACAACAATGAGTGAGTTTGGGAGCAAATCTCTCCCTGGTCAAGTAGTCAAGATAACTGCAGCCCAGCTGACATGTTAATTGCAGCCTCCCAAAAAACTAAGCAAGAACCACCCACCTACCCCATACCCAGACCCCTGACCCAGTGAAACTATAATAAATTTTGTTGATTGAAGCTACAAAGTCTGGGGAGTAATTTGTTTCCCAGCAATAGATAATTAATATGTTATCTCTTGACACTCAATTAACTAGTATCTGCCAGCCTAGAAAAAATTAACTCCTCTCTTCTTTATAACTAACCATGCCCTGTACTCCTGCCTCTGTCATAGAATTGTCACGCATGTGCTTCTTTGCAGCTTTGTCTCTCCCATTCTACTTGAAGATCTTTGAAATTGGAACATGTCTTTTAAAATTTGTATCCCAAGATCCTAGCACAAAGCATGTTTGTGAATTGATGAATGGAAGTGAATTAAATTATAACTTATTCTCAAAATTGAAATTTTTAAAAGACTGACAAGTCAAATTTGCTTTCTTACAAGTACAGGGAAATATGCTGGGAATTACCAGAATAGCATAAAACCCTCCCTCTTAGAGGTCTCTTTTTTATTCAGAGACAACCCTTTACTGACCATATCATTATCCAGTGTGGTGACTGTTTAAGATGACTCTTCCTGGGTTGGGCGAAAATTCAATTAAAATGGAAATCATTCAAGCTAAACATTCTCAGAAATAAAAATCACCCACTTCACACAATGAGAATCACCTACTGATCTATTTTGCCTCTTCGTAACTGCTCAAAGAAGGTCCCTTCTACAAGGAGTTAGATTGGAAGAATAGGAGGTTTGATGAACACTTCCCCAAGAAAAAGGGCATAGGTTAGAAGTCTAACAGGTATTCTAGTTACTTTTTCAGAAGGAGATTATAAAATATTTTTATATGCTTATTATATATGCTACCTCCTATTTTTTCATGTCTTGATTAATATTACAATGCATAAAATCAAAAGCCCCTAGATTTGTCTTCTAGGAAATGGAGTGTGAGACTTTATGGGCCACTCTATCGTGCTGAGCGACAGAGGGATTGTTTGAGCTGTAGAGAGGCTGAAAATATTAGAGAAGATGGAAAAGAAAGTTAACTTTCTGAGACTGCCTGCAAGAGAAGAAACTAAAAATAATCAACTTCCTGAGACTAGGTATCTTGTCTCCCATTTGTTAACACATCAATCCTGTGCTACAAAGGTAACAATGTCTTCCCATAAGGTGTTGGTCTAGACTTCAGTTCACATTCACTTTCCTTTAAGGAGCATTTATTGAGCAGCTTCCCTGTGCCAAGTTCTCTGCCAAGGGAGGTACCATGAGACATGATGTGGGATGTCCCAGTGGAAGACCCAGCACCCAGAATGAAACCCAAGCCAGTAGCAGCCCTTATATTGAAGGAATTGTTTTCTCTTGATGGTTTTTCTGTACTATCTAAATGTTTTCATTTATATCCCTGTTATAGGAGAAAAAATATTCTAACACAAACAAGATTGATTTTGTCAAGTGTAGGAAACACAAGCTAATGGAATGCTTGAGTTAATGATGCTTCCAACATTAAGGTCTATTTAGTGACATATTTTATGGTTCAAACTGTGCCCAGAGTAATAATATACTCCCTTGTCTCACATTTCTCTACATGAGCACAACATTCGGTAGTGTGGGATTTTAAAATCTAAATAATATCAATATGAAAATTTTGAAACTTCAATTAAATATCTAGGAGCTCCCAAACATACAGATGTTGAGTAGCCATATGCGAACCCCCCCGCCCCGCCCCCACCTGCCTTACACAAATATAATACTAGGCGCTTAACAAATGGTGGTTGATTTAACCTACCAGGGGCTACAGCTGGTGCCTTTCACACACTATCCTAATTTATTGCTTCACCAGTCATGCAAAATAGATGTTAGTACAGCCTCCCCTCGGCTTATGCAGGGTGTTTGTTCCAAGACTGCCCACTTATACTCAAATCCCTGCATACTCAAGTCCCATAGCTGTCCTGCAGATCCCACACATAGGAAAAGTCAGCCTTCAGTATATTTGGTCAATCCACATTTGGTTGAAAAAAAAATCCCCATGTAAGTGGACCCATGCAGTTCAAATCCATGTTGTTCAAGGGTCAACTGTATTTCCAATATGTAATTATCTAATATATATTTGGGCTTATATGTGCCAAAGGGTAACTAGGGGAAGCATTTAATATATGTTTTCATGTATGTATTTATTCATTCAGCAACTCTATTTGAGAGTCTCCTATGATCCAGGGATCAGGTTAACCCCTGAGGATATAACAGCAAACAAACCAAATAGACAGGGCACTGTCCTCATGGAGCACACTTTCCAGGCAAGTGGAGACATCAATAAATAAGAAAACAAAAAATAGCAAGACAATTACAGACCACGTAAGTGCAAGGAAAGAAAATAATTAAATGAAGAGATAAAAAATTTCTGGTGATCAGGAAAGTCACTCTGGGGAGATCTGAAGAACTGAAGTAGACAGTCATGCAAAGACCTGGAGGAAGAGATCCCAGACAGGCCTGGGAAAAAGCCCTGAGCTGGGAAAAAGCCTGGCTTGCTAGATGAGCAGAAAAAATGCCAGGGGTACAATTGTTCAAGGTAAATCTGGAAAGATAAGTGAGAGTTGGGTGGTTCAGGGCTTTATGGTTTATGGTGAGGAATTTTGATTCTATTTTAAAACCACAGGGAAGCACTGAATACTTTAAGCTGGAGTATGGTATGATCATTTGTGTACTTTTTAAAGATGATTCCAGTTGTTGAGAGGGGAATGAACCTTAGATAAGCAAGAGTGGAAGTGGGGAAACTAGTGGGAATATCATTACTGCCATCCAGATTCCTATCATTCAGAGATGGTAGAGGATTGGGGAAAAGGAGGTGGCCATGGCTATGGAGAAAAAAGGATACTTCTGAGATGTGTTGCAGTGGTAGAAACAACAAAGCTCACTGGAGAACTTAATGTGGGAAGCGACCTTATAGGGCTGGCACAATTACTGCCTGTTTATACTCCCTTTACACACAGATAAAGACACTGAAACTGAAGCCTGGGCCCTTGGCCACCGTGCTCCATTCCTTCACACGCATCCCTACTCCTTACCCATAATTTCTTCAGGTAAACTCAGGTTTGTCTCACCTTCTATTCCTGCTCTTGACCATTGGTTTTCAACCAGGCTGTCATGTACAGACATGGATGTTGTGCGCTGCCCAGCTAGAGGAGGCAGGGGACACAGGCTACTGTGTAGGTTTTAAAGATAGGTTTACAAGTTCTTTAATATTCCTCCCTTCAAAGTGCTTAATACTCTTCCTGTCGAGTGTGGGCTGGACTTGGTGATGCACTTCTGGTGAATAGAATACCCAGAAGTGATGACATGTAGAATGTCACTTCTGAGACTAGGTTATAAAAAGACTGTGGCTTCTGTGCCCAGTCTCTCTCTCTCTCTCTCTCTCTCTCTCTCTCTCTCTCTCTCCCCCTCTCCCCCTCTCCCCCTCTCCCTCTCTCCCTCTCTCCCTCTCTCCCTCTCTCCCTCTCCCCCATAACTCAATAGAAAGCCAGACGCCATATAAAAAGGACTCCTGGCCATCCCACAGGCAAGCCCACATGGCATGGAACCAAGGCCCGTCAGCAACCACATCAGGGAGCTTGAGAGCACATCTGAGGCCTCACAAAAAGCCACCATAAATGAGCTTGGAAGAAGATTCTCCCCTAGTTCAGCCCAAAGATGACTCCAGCACCAACCAACAGCTTGAATACAACTACATGAGAAACCTAGATATCTGACCCATGGAAACTATGAGATAATAAATATTTTTAAGCACCCCAAAGAAATCATTTGGGGTGATTTGTTACACAGCAATCGATAACTAGTACAAGTATCATGTGAATGGTTCCTGGAGTTATGCAGTATGGTGGTCCTCTTTCCCCCTGCCCCTCATTGCTGCTCCATTACTGTGTCCCCTGCCTTAGAACTATCCCTCAGCTCCAGAGACTAGTCTTGGACTTTTTATTCCAGTTCATCCTTAATCACGTTCCGGGATAGGATCCCCAGTCTCTGTCCACTGACTTTATATCCCTTACCCATGGGCACGAAGTGCTTCACCTCCTTCCATCTGAGGCTCAAGAGATGATTCTGGCTAGGCCTGCATTATTTTTATATATTTGCCTGGATTAAACAAATACGGATAAAAAATTTTAATTTTAATATTTCTGTTTATTCCTAGTAAAAGATACTGTCAAACCATTTTCAGAGGAATAACTGTATCAGAATCTCTGGGGTGCTCTACACACATACAAATTTCTGTACCCTAACACTAGAGAGGCTAACTCAGTAGGTTTCAGTTAAGTCCAGAAAGCTGTATTTTTAAAGAGCTCCCATGTAATTCTGAGACCTAGCCAACTTTTGTAAACTCTAGCTTAGTATTTCTCTCCATCTTGCTATAAAAACAAAGCATGTAACCGGAACCAGAAACTGGGTTTCCCATGTCTTCTTCAATGAATCTCTCACACACATACATAATAAAGTCTATATTTTACCTCTCTGCATTTTATTGACAGCAGTAACTTAATTACATTTGATGAATGTCTGCAAAGATGTAGCAATAAGGATATATTAAATTTATATGAGACCTTTGTACTTTTAGGAAACTGGGACTCAACTTGATGCAAGTTAGTACTTGGAACATATAAATTTATTTTCTGTAATCTCACTTTTGCAGTAAGGACTTTCATTGGCATCTTAGCTCACTCTGTGGAGAATGTGAAGAGCATCTCAATAAATTAAAAAATGACAGCTTTAGGTTTATCAATGATTGAAGCTGCAAAACTATGAGCTAAAGAAAATACAGCAAAGCAAAAATAGAGCCATTTATTCTGTTAGAGTTAAATTCAGGGAAGCAGGGCAGTCAGCAAAAATGCCAAACTCAGTCAAAGACGCTACTGGAGAGGGTTTCTGGTAGGAAGAAAGGAAACTGCAGTTTTCTAATTAACACTGCAATGAATACTAAAAATGACCTTAAAATGGACCTTAAAATGTATTTTAATGAGTTTTTGGCAGGGACTGCCGATGAGCCCTTTTTCATAAGTGAAGGGAAATGTCTTAAAATTAAGCAAGGCTTATGATCATCATACTGGAATCATATTTCAGGGAAATAAAGCCTTTTGCTGGAAGTTAAACAAAAGGCCCAGTAGGAATACTAATCAAGCTTGTGTCTTATTCTAATAATTCTAAAGGCAGATTCCTGAAGTATAAATGTTATAGCATCACACACACACACCCCACTTCCTATTCCACATCTACCTAATTGTCTGCTTCACTGTCTTTCCCTTTCTCTCCAATCGTTCTTCAGGTTCTTTGCCAAACCCAATTATATTAAAATATATACAAGTCTCTTCCGTATTTTCTAAAGCCTTTACTTGCCCTAGACATCTAGTTTAATATAGTATCTGCTACTAGTTTTCCACTAAAGTACCTTCACCTCCGAAGATAGAGAAAAATACTGCAGCTCACAATCCAATGCCCAGAGCAAACCATGCCCTGGAACACACACCCCCATGGCAGTTCCTCCCCTTTACCTCTAGAGAGCAGCTCCTACCAAAGCAGCCAGCCAACCATGTAATCACCAAGGGGCTCATCTTGCCCACTGCCCAGAAAAGCCAATGCACTTTTTTGCACCAAAAAAATAGTTTAATTAATGTAATGCAGGGCTAGCCAAGTGGAAAATAAAATTTATTACTCAAATCAGCCTCAAGAACTCAGAGGCTAGGGTTTTTATGGATAACCTCGTGGGCAGGGGGCTAGGGTGCTGCTAATTTGTTGGGTATGAAATCGTAGGAGTGTGGAAAACAGTCCGTGTGTGCTGAGTCAGCCTCTGGGTGGGAGCCACAGTACCAGCTGAGTCATGAGTCATGGGTCCAGGTGGAGTCAGTCAGTCTTCAGAATACAAAAGTCTGAAATACATCTCAAAAGACCAATTTTACCATTTACAATTGTGATATTATCTACAGGAGCAATTGGAGAAGTCACAAATCTTGTGACCTCCGGCTTCATGACTCCTGAGCAGTAAGGAATTATATGAAAGCAACCTAAGGAACGAATGGCTGAATATTATTTAACCATGCCTACATTTTAGCAGAATCCAGGCCCCTCCCATAATCCTAATCTCCTGGCCTTTTATTCGTCTTACAAAGGCAGTTTCAGTCTCTGAACAAGGAGAGGTGCAGTTTTAGGGAAGGACTATTATCATCTTTGTTTCAAAGTTAAACTATAAACTAAATTCCTCCCATGATTAGCTTGGCTTACACCCAGGAAAGAGTGAGGACAGCCAGCCTGTGAAGCTAGAAGCAAGATGGAGTCAGCCATGCCAGATACCTGTCACTGTCATAATCTTTGCAAAGGTGGTTTCAGCCAAGTTCACAGAGCAAAGCGCTGGCCCAACTCCCACAGAGCCATCTCTGAGCTTGAGATTAGAAGCATCCAATCACTTCTGCACTGGCGCCTCCTTTGTCTGCGTTGTAGATAAGGGTTCTCACCTCTACTTTGTATTTCTTCAGTCCTCTTCCATCTGCCTTATGTGTTCCAGCAATTATTCAAATCTTCTGTTTTATTCTTCCCTCACTTTTAGTACTGACATAAAATGCTTCCTATCATACTTACCCTGTTATTTTAGAAAGAAACTTTAAAAATAACAAAACAAACTTGTATGCTCAGAATTGGTATGTTGATTAAATAAAGGACTGACCTGTGACCCATTTCTCTAAACTATAATATAGATTTGGGGTTCCTCCAGGACCACTTAGTGGTTGGTCTGGAAAATCTATATTGACACTCACAGTTGCCCAGGGAAAAAGAAAGACATATTGTATGTTTCAATTTGGTCAGAGCAAAAGTGGCCTTTGATCATCTATAATAAGTTCTGTGTATTCTGGGGAAACTTTAAGATTAACGCAAGAATGCAAGCAGGAGTTTTTATTTTACAGTAAATAAGTTTTTATTTTACAGTTAAATAAGTTACATAAGTTATTTCAGATAGAAATAGGTGATTTGTCATCAAGAAACTGGAAGTGTTTCTAGACACTTCATCCATAGTTATAAACCCATGAGCCCCAGGGAAAAACACCTTCAGAATGACAGCATTGCCAAGAAAGGAGAAAGAATGGAAAGATAATCTCTTATTTAGAATGATCTGAAGAGGTCTACCCTCAGTTTGAGGTCTTAGTCTAGACTAAATTGAAGCAGAGGAGGAGTGAGAAGACAGACACCATACCCAAGCAATACCTAGCGCCTTGCTACTCAGACTGTGGACCTTAGACCAGTAGCTTCCAGGCCACCTGGAAGCTTGTTAGAAATGCAGAATCACGGACAGACACAGTGGCTCATGCCTGTAATCCCAGCACTTTGGGAGGCCGAAGCAGTAGAACCACGAGGTCAGGAGTTTGAGACCAGCCTGACCAACATAGTGAAACCCCGTCTCTACTAAAAATACAAAAAAAATTAGCCCACCACGGTGGCAGGCGCCTGTAATCCCAGCTACTTGGGAGGCTGAGGCAGGAGAATCGCTTGAACCTGAGAGGCCAAGGTTGCAGCGAGCTGAGATCACACCACTGCATTCCAGCCTTTCTTTCAAAAAAAAACAGAAAGAAAAGAAAAGCATAATTATATGCCCCACCCTAGACATGCTGATTCATAATCTACGTTTTTAACAAGATCTTCAGGTGATTTGTACACCCCTTAAAGTTTGAGAAGCTCTACCCTGGAGAAATCATCTCTTACAGGGCACCATAGAAAAGTGAAACTGATGGGTCATTAACTCGTCCAACTTTACACCCTCCTACTTTCTCTTCCTCCCCACTTTCCTGGGCCATAGAGATTACCCTTGGAGACAGGTGCCTGGGGTTATTCCGAAGACCAAATTAAGTGCTGAGATGCCCAAATATCATCAACAACCACACAAACCTGGCAAGGGGAGGTGTCTTGAATTCTATTAAGTTAGTACCAGAGAAAAGGCTCAGACTTCTGAGAGTTCTTTGTTAGCCACTATTCTGTGAGTTGCAGTAGTAGAAAATCCAACTCAAAATAGACTAGGCAAAAGGGGAATTTATTAGCTTATATAGCTGAAAAGTCCAGTTACAGATCAGTTCCAAGCACAGCTTTGTCTGTGTATTTAAATGATGTTATAGAAAGCTACCCCAAAGTCTGTTTTTCTCTGTCTTGGTTTTCTTTCTCTGGAGGGCTTGCACTTAAGCACAGCCTCCAGTTCCAGGTCCACTTCTTCTCAGCTCTACATCCACAGAAAAAAGAAGTTTTGGCTGGGTGCGGTGGCTCACGCCTGTAATCCCAGCACTTTGGGAGGCCAAGGCAGGCGGGTCACCTGAGGTCAGAAGTTCAAGACCAGCCTGACCATGGCGAAACCTCGTCTCTACTAAAAATACAAAAATTAGGTGGGCGTGGTGGCACACGCCTGTAATCAAGCCTGCTCTTGAAGCCAAGAATGAGATCAACCCCATGTGAAATGCATGAATCAAGAGTGTGGGAGGAAAATAGAGGAACAGATAGCAAAAGAAGAGGAGACTGATGCTGAGTGGAGAAAAACAATAGCTATTCACTAGGGCATCTTTCCACTGAAATCCACAGCTGCTCTCTCCCTACACAGAGGTGTCCTCTCCAGAAGCAAATGCATAGCCATTTGTTAGAGCAATCACCATAGAGCTGCAGGGCAAGGAATTTTATCCTTATAATTTTATTGTCATTTTGGGGGTGTCCATTATTCCATTATACCATTTACAATACAATAAATTTAAATAATATTTAAAATATGGCACTTCATTGCACTGCTTTCTTACTTTTTCAGAGTGACAAGGTTCAACCCAACAACCTGACTTAATGAAAGTGAAAAACATTAGCCAGTGAAAATATAGAAGGAAAAACATCATTGTGATGGTAACAGAGCTCTGGCCACAGGTGAGGCATGTGCCAGTTTTTTCATAACTATCAAACAGTGCTACCTCCTGTAAACAAACATTGAAGGTTTTAGCCCTGGTCAAAGTTCCCAAAGATCTCTCAATGCCTCTGATAAGTGTGACTTTAACTCAAGGAAACACTGATCTCTCTTCATGTCTCAAAAATCTGGATACAGAGCTGTGGGTCACATTTGGAGATGCTCAATTTTGTTCTCCACTACTGAATTCTCGAGTGAACTATTCTGTACAAATCTACTTTAATTATGTATTAATTTCAATATTATTACATGCAGTACACAACTGCTACTCATTAAAAATTAATCTAGATTCTATTGGTTTTATTTCGTATTCATTATAAGGCAACATCCACTTTTTTAAAAAAGCCCTCCAGATAAATGTGTTGCTCTACATAGCCAAGTAGTGACTTGCCAAAAATAGAAATACCTTAATAAGAATTCCGCCTGCATTGTCCTTTCCCTCCTCTCTTTAGCAGCTTCATTCACAATCATCAATAATGAACTGGAGGAAAGCAGAACTGACAGGGACTGGTTAAGCACAACATTTGAGAATCCCTCTGTTCTAAGTTTTTGTTGAAGTTGGAACACCAAAGTCCTATTCTCATTTTGCCATTAAAAGGAATTATTTTATGTTCTTGCCTTTAACAGCCCTGCTCTGGAGATTCCACAACAGGAAAGCTTTTGTTTAGACATTGACAAGAAGTCCCAGTGCTTTATTTCTCCACATCTATTGCAGTACTTTTCCATGCAGATAAGTGCAGAAAAAAATACAACAATGCTTAGAGTCATGCACCACATAACAACATTTTGATTAATGACAGACCACATATACGATGGTAGTCCCATAAGACTATGATGGAGCTAAAAAATTCCTATTGCCTAGTGATGTCTTAGACACATTTTTATGTCCTACGTTGTACGATGCATTATCTGTGTGTTCATGGTGATGCTGGTGTAAGCAAACCTACTGTGCTGCCAGTCATATAAAAATATAGCACATATAATTTTGAACAGTACATAATATTTGGTAATGATAATAAGCAACTATGTAGCTGGTTATGTATTCACTATACCATTCTTTTGATCATTATTTTAGAGTGTTTTCTACTTATAAAAAAAAAAGTGCCTGTAAAACACCCTCAGGCAGATTCTCCAGGAGATATTCCAGAAGAAGGCATTGTTACCATAGGAGGTGACAGCTCCATGAGTGTTCTTGCACCTGAAGACCTTCCAGGGGGACAAGAAAAGTGAAACTGATAGGTCATTAACTTGTCCAACTTTACACCCTCCTAGTTTCTCTTCCTCCCCACTTTCCTGGGCCATAGAGATTACCCTTTGAGACAGGTGCTTGGGGTTATTCCAAAGACCAAATTAAGTGCTGAGATGCCCAAATATCATCAACAACCACACAAACCTGGCAAGGGGAGGTGTCTTGAATTCTATTAAGTTAGTTAATGGGTATGTTTCTGTCTTAGCTTTTAACAAAAAAAAAAAAGAGGTTTAAAAAGTAAAAAAAAAAAGTTTATGAATAAAAACTGCTTATAGAATAAGGATATAAATTTTAAAATATTTTGATACAGCTGTACAATGTGTTTGTGTTTTAAGCTAAGCATCATTACAAAAGAGTCAAAAGTTTATTAATTAAGAAGTTAAGTAGGCCGGGCGTGGCGGCTCATGCCTGTAATCCCAGCACTTTGGGAGGCCGAGGCAGGCGGATCACGAGGTCAGGAAATCGAGACCATCCTGGCCAACACGGTGAAACCCCATCTCTATTAAAAATACAAAAATTAGCCGGGCGTGGGTGCCTGTAGTCCCAGCTACTCGGGAGGCTGAGGCAGGAGAATTGCTTGAAACCGGGAGTCGGAGGTTGCAGTGAGCCGAGATTGCCACTGCACTCCAGCTTGGCGACAGAACGAGACTCCATCTCACAAAAAAAAAAAAAAAAAAAGTAAGCTAAGGTTAATTTATTATCAAAGAAAAAATATTTTTATAAATTAGAGTAGCCTAAGTGTACAGTGTTTATAAAGTCTACAGTACTGTACAGATGTCCTAGACCCTTGCATTCACTCACTACTCACTCACTGACTCTCCAAGAGCAACTTCCAGTCCCTCATGGTAAGTGCCCTATACAGGTATACCATATTTTATCTTTTATACAGTATTTTTACTGTACTTTTTTTATGTTTCAACATGTTTAGATATATAAACACTTGCCATTGTGTTACAATTTTATAAGTGCCTACAGTATTTAATACAGTTTGTAGCCTAGGAGCAATAGGCTATGCCATACAACCCAGGCGTATAGTAGGCTATGCCATGTAGGTTTGCGTAAATACCCTATGATGTTCACACAACAAAATCATCTAACAATGCATTTCTCAGAATGCATGCCTGTTGTTAAGCAACATATGACTGTAGTGTGTGGGAAGAGTCATGTGGGATTGCAAGAACTAAATAAATAAAGTCTCAAACTGTTTTCTTCTAAATGTGAAAATAATAGTTAACATTTGTGGAAACCTTGCTATGTGCCAGGTACTGAGCACACACCTTATTTAATCCTAAGGGGAGTTATCACAGTTACTTCTCACTCACTGTATTTGATGTATTTTTCATACCTTAGGAGAATTTATGTTCACAACAAATAAAAAATGCTTTAATTTAATAAAGAAGAAAGAAAGCCTTAATCCTGAATTTACAATGCCAAACAATTTACAGAGAAACCAAACTTTTGAAGTCCAATTGTGGTCTCTTCTAACAGTATCAAATCAACATCTCAAAGCCAAGTTGAATCATGTATACTGGATTGGGCATTATTTTCTTACTATAAGAGGTGCTGCTGTGCTTTAGGCTAATACTTCAAAGTGTTGGCTTCAAACTATAACTGACTCAAAAAGAAGTTCTAAAAAAGAGTATTTTGTGGCTCCTTTTCAGTTCGTTATGCCTGGCCAGGTTCCCACTCGACCTTTTCGTTGACTTTCTCTTTAATTCTATTTAACAAACAAGTAAAAGAAGTTAAAGTGTGCCAGGCTAATGTGTTGGTTGCATGGGTTGACAGAAACTAACTTCATCAACCTAAGTAAAAATAAAACAAATGGTGGTGAGAAGGACATACACTACAGGAGTATGATCAGGAACCAAGGGCAGAGAATTACTCAGGCTTCAGGAAGCGAGATGACTAGGAATGGAGGTTTCCCAAGATCCCCTTCTCCTTTCTCATCTGTGGCATTCTCTACTCTTCACAGACCAACTTTCTCCGCTTCTTAACCACATGGCAGAAAATGTACAACCAAAGCTCCCAAGTCTAAATGTTGAATGCTGGCCAAATAGGAAACTCTGCTTTCTCTCTATCTCAGTCCCCACTTCAACACTCAGGAGAAATAATACAAAGGGCCCACCTCAGGTCAGATGTCCACTTCTGCACTCATCAGCTGTGGCTAGGAGATGGAGTCACATAAGACAAAAGGACGGTAGAACCCATCAGTACAGTTTGGAAGAGAGTTGCCAAGTAAAAGGAAGTGACTGAACTGGGCAGATGCCCTAAAGGATGTAGTATTAGTCAAGGTTCTCCAGAAAAACGGAATCATAAGAGAGAGAGACACAGAGAGATTGTAAGGAATTGGCTCACATAATTATGGAGACTGAGAAGTCATAAGATTTGGTGTCAGCAAGCTGGACATCCAGGAAAGCCAGTGGTGTACTTTCAGTATGAGTTCAAATAAGCCTGAGAACCAGGAGCTCATGGTTTAAGTTCCAGTCTGAGAGCAGGAAAAGACTGATGTCCCAGCTCAGCAGTCAGGCAGATAAAATTTCCTCTTATTCAGCCATTTTGTTCTACTCAGGTCTTCAACTGATTAGATGAGGCCAACCCACATTAGTAGGGCAATCAGCTTTCCTCGATCTGCTGATTCAAATTGTAATCTCCTCCATAACTTTAAAGAAACACCTAGAATAAACTTTATAGACACACCTAGGATAAATCTTGTTCAAATGTCTGGGCACCCTGTGGCCTAGCCGGGTTTGCATGTAAAATTAATCATCACAGGCATCCTCCACCACAAATAACAGTCTCTTTAGGAATCTGAATAAAAAGGCATAATTAAGATATTAATTTAATGATATTTGAATTTCTAATGACACTATAAATGAATTATGTCAATAATTTTTAAAAATTAATAAAAAGCCTATTGTTACATACTTGGAAGGAAAGTGGAATGCCAAACAGATACCTTGGCCCAAAAAGCATTTCTATAATACAATTGATCACAGACTCCTCTCAAAAAAGGCACTGGCACGAAGAACCCCATCCCATTTTTCTTACCAAAAATGATAAAGTTATGATGAAGGAATTCTTCTGAATTTAGTTACTTTCAAATTTATTTAAAGTCTTCAGACTTTTTATGTCATCATATTCTTTTTGCTTAAACTTACTAGCATTCTTTGATTCCTAAGCCAAACTAAAAGGAATTAACTTAAGACTTACCACAGTTATGGATATGATGACTTCTGCATTATTAAGCTGAAGCACAAGCTAATAAAAAAACTAATGTTTTAATTTACTAATAAAAAGATAACTTATTAGTATGTGGTTTCCATTATTAAATAAGTTCAAAAGGTTAAACTCTTATGTTCTAAATTTTGGAATAAGGGTGGCTGGGCGAGGTGGCTCATGCCTGTAATCCCAGCACTTTGGGAGGCCGAGGTGGGCGGATCACAAGGTCAGGAGATTGAGACCATCCTGGCTAACACGGTGAGACCCCTGTCTCTACTAAAAATACAAAAAATTAGCCAAGCGTGGTGGCGGGCGCCTGTAGTCCCAGCTACTCGGGAGGCTGAGGCAGGAGAATGGCGTGAACCCGGGAGGCGGAGCTTGCAGTGAGCCGAGATTGCGCCACTGCACTCCAGCCTGGGCGACAGAGCGAGACTCCGTCTCAAATAAATAAATAAATAAATTATAGAATAAGAGTTACTCTCATCCATCTCTTTGCTACAGAAAGAAAGCATATTAAGAAGAGACAACATAAACAATGTTAGAATATTTACCCTTTTAAATAGCTTACAATCATTTATTCACTGAATACCTGAATACCTACTATCTGCCAGAGCTAGCCCTAACATCAAGTATTTATTTCAAATGCAAAGGGTATGTTTTTTATTCTTGAGCTATTTGGCTTTGTTAAATATTACTACTATTAAAACCAACAAATAATATTGTTTTAAGAGTACATCAATCTTTTAAAAATTGAGCATTTATACGCTAAAAATTTTTCTGAGAAAATCGGAGTATATCTCATCCATTTCTGTATGGAGGAAACCAGTGCACAGAAAGGTGAAGTTACTTAATGGAGACACCACAAGTATTTGATTATGAAGACATGACAAGACAGTCTCTTGACTCTGGATCTACACCTCTGCCTTAATACCACACCACCATTGACTTAACAAATGATGCAAAAGTTATGTAACAATGACAAAATTCCTCCTTGACACTTGAGTGCAGAAAATGGCAATTTTTTATTTTTCTAAATAATGTCAATATGGCTTAACCCCTCAGCCGAGAGAGTAGATAAGAAATTATATGTCAGTCAAAATTTGGGACCCCTGTTCTGGGGTCAAACCTGTATTTATTCTTATTGCTTTATTAAAAATTGTAAAGTTAGTAATGGATTTCAAAACAGATATAAAAACGGGTTGGGAGGATGGTGGTCACCAATCACTAGTGATGACTCTCAGTGAGCCACACACTTCCTGCCATTTGTGCGCTTGGGTAATCCGCACACATTGACTCCGGCCAGCCCACGACTTGCTTTAATCACTAGAAAGTTACAGAAGTAACATAGTTCCAGGCTTAAGCTTTAAGAAAGCCTGGAAGTTTCCACATTTACACTTTTGGTAACCCTAAAGTACCACGTAAAAAGTCCAGCTAAGATGTTAGATTAACTGTGTGGAGAAACCTTGTGGAGAGAGAGAGGCTCCATCCCCCAGAGTCCCACCTGAACCCAACCTTCCCGCTATTCCCCTCAATGCACTAGCATAAGAGCAAAGCTACCTTGAACATTCAAGCCTCAGTCATCAATCACCTACAACTTCATGAAAGACCCTACGTAAGACCAGCATGAGAATCTTCCACGTAAACCCAGGCAACCCATAGAATTATGATAAATTCACTAACTTTCTATTATTACATTAATAGAAACCCAAAGAGGGGATTAAAAAAATCTTGCCCACCACAGAAATTGTTCCCAAAAGCGTATCAAAGAGTGCATATTACTGAAAGAAAATGACACAGCAAGACTCTGAAGAATACAAGTGGGCTCTGTGGTTCTGCCTCAGAACTCCATTCCAGGTTCATTTCTTATGATTGTCCAGGTTACTTTTTGCATGACTCCAGAATACACATTCATTTTTTAATCATCATAGATTTAATTTCTGTTAGACAACAGTAAAGTATATTGAAGAAATAGTACCTCACTCTGATTTTCACAAAGTTCCAATTTGGATTAGAGAGAGGGATGTACAAGTAACATATTAATTAATGGAAAATTCTACCGGGGTTAATCAATTCATTGAAAAAATATTCCTGGTCTCCATGGCCTTGCGGCTTGGCCTATCTTTTGTGTCTTCATGAGTATTTCAGAGAAAAGGTGAGGGACAGTGAATTAAGTATTATTAACTGTATACCATCATATAACAGAAATCCTAAATAAATGACCTTTAAAAAAAGTCAACACAAAGTCAACGCTTGTTTTAAATCAATGCTGCTTAAACTATAATGTGCATGTAAATCACCTGAAGATATTGTTAAAATGCAAATAATTTCCATTCAATCTGTCTGGGATGAGGCCTAAAATTCTGATGTTCTAAAAGAACAATATGACAAACACAATAACTGGGGATGATACAAGAAAAGTGAAAACTACTATGATTTGCTATCTTTGTCCTCTAGATGATCCACATTCAATCAAGGGAGAGAGAATCTCCTTGCTCCAGCATCTTACCTTAAGTTCATAGCAGGGGCACATAAGAGGGGGTTCTAACCCCAGCATGAAAGTTAGGGTAGACTTCCTTGAAACACCATTCTAAACTAAGATGGGTAAATCAACAGACTTTGCTAAGTAAAGTGTGGGAGAAAGTATATTTTCAGAGTCTACAGTATGTACAAAGTTTTGGAGCTGAAAGACATCATGCAATAGCCGGCAAAAGAAGGAAAAGGGAAGAAATCTCAACGATACCCCTCTGTGTTTCCCACCTACAATGAGAGCATGAGATTGGATGAAATTGGATTCACCAGCTTCTCTCACTACCTCAACACCCTAGGGATTCTTCTTATAATTGGGATACATATGTAGCCACCGCTTTATGATATGCAAGGCCCATTCCTTTATACATTCATTCAAGAAAGTTACATTCACATCTGGTGTACAATATCTAAGTAAAAATGGGTGCTAAGAACAGAGATGATAATCACTATTTTATAGATGAGAACAGAGGAAACAATTATGAACTTGATCAGACATAGCTAAGTGGAGTAGGCAAATGCAGAACCCAGGGCTTCTGGTTCCTAGCTCACTTCTCTTTCTACCTCATCCAAAATATTCCAAATATCAGTAGCCAAAAATATCATACAAGGCTATTTTTGTTTGTAGCACTTCAGCAAGATGTCCCCAAGGTACAGTATAGAACAGAGCAATAAAGTGGCCAGACAAGAGGGTGGTAGAATGGCAGCAAAAGGAGTGGGTGTAGGTCAATCTGAAAGTTTTTACCATACTATTTTCCTTTATGTGGATCTACTAGTTATTTACTTTTTTCTTATTTCCTGAACTGCAATCCTCTCTACAGCAAACAACTAGTTATTTTTGTATATCCATCACACTCAAGATCATTCCTTCAAAAATTCTGAACTACTCCTAGGTTTTCTAGGAGAGCCTTGACTTTATTCCTTCCCATGTCAATAAATACTAAAATGTTTCAGAAATTCTAATATATCACAATGCAAACTATGTGTCCCAGACTGCCTCTCATTCTCAAAGTCATTCCCCTAAATCCTTTGTTATATAAGATTTTTGTTAACTACCATGATTGTACATATACCATATAAAGGGTTGTTTTGCATGCAATAGGCGCTTAACAAATGCCTTTTGGTTAGATTTCTATATTGGTCAGCTTGGGCTACTATAACAAAATTTTGTAGACTGGGTGGGTTCAACAATAGGAATTTATTTTCTTGTAGTTCCAGAGGCTGGAAGTCTGAGACCAGAGTGCCAGCACAGTTGCTGTCTGGTGAGGGCTCTCTTCTAAGCTTGCAGATGGCCACCCTCTCGATGTGTTCTCATATGGCAGAAAGAAAGCCAACAAGCTCTCTGGTGTATCTTCTTATAAGAAACCTTGCCCTCATGGCCTTATCTAACCCTAGTTATCTCTCAAAGGCCCCATCTCCAAATACAACTCATTCCGGCATCAATTCTAAAGACTAAAGTCTGGTTTAAATATCATCTAAATTAGGTATGAATGAGACTTGAGATATGGTTCGTCCTAAGGCAAAATTCCTCTCCAGCTTTGAACCTGTGAAACCAGACAAGTTATGATGCGCTTCCAAAATGCAGTGGTGGGACAGGCATAGAATAGACATTCCCATTCAAAAAGGAAAAAATAGGAAAAAAAAGAAAAAGGTGATGGGTCCCAAGCAGGTCTAAAACCTAGTAAGGCAAATTTCATTAACATCTTAAGGCTCAAGAATAACCCTCCTAATACTGAAATCTGGGTGAAGTCGAAATAATTTAAAATTTAAATAATAAAAAAAAAAAGAAAAAAATAACTCTGTTTGGTTTGATGCTCCGCCCATGCCTTAAGTTCACAATGCCAGTCCTACCCACATGGTTGTGGCAGCTCTGATGATCCCTGAATCCCCTTTGGGGTCGTTCTTTCCTTTCCTTGAAAAATGGTGCAGTTTCACAACCAAATACCTCCGTGATCTAGTCCTACAAAATCCAAGAAGTCCAACAGCCTTCCTCCAATCTGTCCTGCTTTCTCTGGCCTCCTTTAGCTCCAACTGGCAGTATCTTTGCTAGTATAATCCCATCTGTATTCCTGATTTCTGCTGAGATGGCTGGTTATATCCATGAGTCACACCTGGCTGTCTTTATCAAATGGTTGTTCAGCCACACCCTCAGTGTTCTCTTCAGAAAAAGTTTATCATTTTTGCAATACAGATATGCTGATAATTTTGCATCTACATGTTCTGGTTCCTTTCTGCATAAAAATTCCTCTTCAAATAATCTCTCTCACTTTTCATATTTTACTATAAGCAGTCTTGAGCAACCAAACTGTTCCTTCAATATTTTGCTTAGAAATGTCCTCAGCTAAATATCCAATTTTATCACTCACAAGCTCTACCTTCCACAAGACACCAGAACATAGTTCAGTCAAGTTCTTTACCATTTTATAACAAGAATTATCTTCCTTCTAGTTTCCAATAACACTGAGACCTCCCAGAACTGACCTTAACATTCATATTTCTAGCATGTACCCCAAAACACTTATGGCCTCTATGCATTATTCAGTTTCAAAGCTGCTTCCACATGTGTAGGTATTTGTTACAGCAGAACCCCACTTCTTGTTACCAAAATCTGTATTAGTCAGGGTCTTCAGAGACAGAGAACCAATAAGATAGGTAGGTAAGTAGATAGAAGATAGATAGATAGATAGATAGATAGTCTTATAATAAAAAGGTTTATTATAGGAAATTGGCCTGTCCAATTATGAAGGCCAAGAAGTCCCAAGATCTGCAGTCAGCAAGCTAGAGGCCCAGCAGAGCTAATGGTGTAAGTTCCATCTAAAAACAAGCAGGTTCAAGACCTAAGAAGAGCCAATGTTTCAGTTTGAGTTTGCAGGCCAGAAAAGACCAATGTCCCAGTTCAAAACACTCAGGCAGGAGGATTTCCCTCTTACTCAGCCTTTTTGTTCTATTCAGGTCTTCAATCATTCAATGGGGCCCACTCACATTTAGAAAAGACAATCTACTTTACTCAGTCTAAACAGTTCAAATGTTACTCATCCAGAAGCACCCTCACAGACACACTAGGAATAATTTTATCCAAATGTCTGGCCACCTTGTGTCCCAGTGGGGTTGACACATAAAATTAACCATCACAACTTCAAAACCAATTAAGTATTAAAATTCTAAATTCTACATTTCTTAAATTCATGATTTCCCTTTCCTTTTTAACCTGCTATTCAATTTTCTAGCAAGCTTACCACTAGGGTGCTGCTGCTTCTTTTCTTCCCTGGATACCATCCTCCATTTTTCCCAGCTGCACCCAGCTTCTTCCTAACTCTGTTTGATTTTTTATTCTTCTCTCTCTCTCTCATCCTCCTTACTGGAGAATATAACCTCAGTGCTCTGTCTCTCTCTCTCTCTCTCTCTCTCTCTCTCTCTCTCTCTCTCTCTCATCCTCCTTACTGGAGAATATAACCTCAGTGCTCTCTCATCCTCCTTACTGGAGAATATAACCTCAGTGCTCCGTTTCGCTCAAGAATTAGTTTCCAAGAATCCTTCCATCAACTATTATCTCTTTCACAAGGAGATATTAAGCTGTGCCCAAGGCAATAGAATCTTGTTTCTATAAGCAATGATCCCAGAACAGCCACTAAACCCAGCAGTGCCAAGTGACTAATAATGATGAACTGGAGATTTTAGCCTGTTTAAAATTGTAGGGTGTTCTCATAGCGCTCATCTGCTTATTTCTCTTTTGAGAACAAGTAGTGCATGCCTCCCAGCCTCTTCCCTCTGATAATGGGATTTCTGGTCCATGTCATCTAACTCAGTACTACTTGCAAGGCCACAAGGTGCCAGAAACCTATGTTCACAGGTGCTGGAACCTAGGAGAAATTGTCAGTACTGCTGGTAGTCAGGAGAGTTTGTTTACCCTTGTGTTACAAAGGAAGATATTTTGTTACTGCCATACCTCTGATAATGGCCACCTTGTGCTAGGAACTCACACAGAACAGGGCTGAATAGGAACCATGCAGGAGAAATTATTTGGCTGCGATTCAGAAAAGGAGTCCTGGCAAAATCTAAATCACAAGTATTAATAAAATGCATTTTCATGAACAAAGGTTCAACACTCCTTTCTTGGTAATTACATCTGGCAAGACAATAAGCTTAAATTCCCTTCCGTTCAAATTCTCTATTTTACCCCCTTTCTAATTGGAAAAATAGACCCTGAATCAACTCTAGAATTTTTCATAAAGTTGTAAGGGAATGCTCTTATTTAGGGATCATTTAATCTGCCTCATTTACACAGGTGAAGAAACTAAGTTTCCTTGGAGTGAAATGAATTGCTCAAGTCATAAGTGAAAGGTAGACCTGGCACAAGAGCCTAGACCTGTCTTTTCCCTCTTGTGCTGGAGCTACCATATACCATGGACAGTGCCTCCCCCACTTCCATGACCTGCTCTGCCACTCCCTCACCAGGATATTTGGCCCCTCTAATGGTCAGCTAGTTTACAGAAAGTTAGACAGTAATTCTTTTCATCTTACCCAAATAAGAGACAAATAAAAAAGCATGTACTGATCTTCTGAAACTACTGTTACAAATATATGCCACAAAAAGATTATTTTTCTATCCAACAACTTACAGATAATGTCTTAATCATTTCTTTTATCAATCTCAAAATTCAGCCTCAAATAGAATTATGTAATTATGAGAAATTTTCCTGGTAATGTCAGCAAGAGAAAAAGTCATCTATTTTTAAGAACACATTTTCTCTGTAAACAACGAGCCTATAATTTTTTAGTGTTATTTTTCAGTTCACTTTTTCCCATGATACTATATAAAAGTCTTTCCTTAAATCCAGAGTTTCAAAAATTAGCCCAAGGCTGTATTATGCCATGGCCCTACAGGCCCTGCCACCTCCCCTAACTTCTCATTGTGCTCATTATCAATCCTACACAGAGCTGGGGCAGAGCAATAAGCTAGGACTGAGAAATGATCAAATGTCCCAGTTCTGCAGCCATCTAATTTTCACTTTTTAACACAGGATATGAACTTGGGCACTTCTCACAGCCTCCTAAATCTTCCACTCTTGGGTGATGCTACCTCCATTAAGCAGAGCTCCTTATACTCATCTAAACAAAAGTTAAAAGATGCATCTGGTTTGAAGAGAATCTGGAATATTCTAACTTATGTAATTCTCTCTTCTGGGTCTTGAAGAGGGTGTTTAATCTCATCCTGTCTTTATCTTGCCTGTGCCTTGTCCTAGTTTAAATGGCCTCAACCATCATACCTTGTTTTGATTAATGTAGTTAACAGCATGAGTTTTAGAGAGAGACAAACTTCGTTTTCAGTCTGACTCTGTTCCTACTAGCTTTGTGACCTGGCCAAATCAGTAGAAACAAAGTTAACTATGTTGCTCAGCTTCAGTTTCCTCATGCTTTAAATGGAGGACATAAAACTTGCCTCAAATGGTCCTTGTAGGGTGAAATGAAATAATGTATATGAAATATTTGGCATAGTTCCTGGCACATTGTTAGTGCTCTTATTATTTAGAAGATAATATGAAAACATTTTATTTTGGCTAATTTCCGCATCTCTTTCTTTTTCAACTTTTTATTTTACATTTGGGGGTACATGTGCAGGTTTATTACCTGGGTATATTGCGGATGTTGGGATTTGGGATATGAATGATCTCATCACTCAGGTAGTGAGCATAGTACCCAACAGTTAGTTTTTCAACTCTTGCCCCACCTCCCTCCCTACCTTCTCTTTAGCAGGCCCCAATGTCTATTGTTCCCATCTTTATGTCCCTGAGTACCCAGCATGTCCGTTTAGCTAAATGAGAGCATGCATAATTTGGTTTTCTGTTCCATTGTTAATTCACTTAGGATAATGGCCTCCAGCTGCATCCATGTGGCTGAAAGGACATGATTTCATTCTTTTTATGGCTGCATAGTATTCTATGATGTATATGTACCACATTTTCTTTATCCAGTCCACCATTGATGGGCACCTATGTTTATTCTATGTCTTTGCTATTGTGAACAGCATGGCAAGGAACGTGCACGTGCATGTGTCTTTTTCGTATAATGACTCATTTTCTTTTGAATATATACCCAGTAATGAGATTCCTGGGTTGAATGGTAGCTCTGTTTTAAGTTCTTTGAGAAATCTCCAAACTGCTCTCCACAGTGGCTGAACTAATTTATATTCCCACCAACAGTGTATAAGCATTCCATTTTGTCTGCCGCCTCGCCATCATCTGTTGCTTTATGACTTTTTAATAATAGTCATTCTGTATTATGACTCACATAATACAATGTGAGATGGTATCTCATTGTAGTTTTGATTTGCATTTCTCTGATGATTATTGATAATGAACATTTTTTCATGTTTCTTAGCCACTTGTATGTCTTCACCCATTGTGCAGGCTTGGTGGGATGGTATGACAGGGTATTTTCCCTCCCACTACAGAAGTCACAGAGGATCTATGAGAGCCTCTTTTTCCCACCCCAGTATCTGAGTTGAAGAGGTGAAGGCAATAAGGGGGCATATGGTTTAAGTTCTGCAGTATGGAAAATTCACATTTCCTATATAGGGCTCATAAATGTATCTAATCAATTAATATTTATTGAACACCATGTGTCATGTTCAATGCTAGACTCTGGGGGATTAATTAACAACACTATTCCTGCCCTCATAGGGATTATAATTTAGTAAATAATTCCAAGACAGTGCCCAAAGTTCAATAATAGAAGTATGGTGAGACCAGAGCGCAAAGAAAAGAGTAGATATTTCTACATGGAAACCTCAGAAAACATGTCATTGAGGTGTGCTGAGCATTGAGAAATAATCAGTATGAGGGGAAGGATGTTCCAGATAATAAAGCAGGATTGACACAATCATGGAAGTGTTAAATAGCAAGAGAAATTTTAGGGGCTCAAGTCATGGCTGGTGCATAGAGTGGGAAATGATGACTAGAGGAAGCTAGCTTTTAGAAAGATGAATGATCTTCTGCAAATTTCTACATGTTAGGATATTTCAGATTTTTTTATTTTAAAAAGTTAAATACAAAAATAAAGGAGAGTCAAGGGGCTTAAAATGAATTTTTTTTCCCAAGCTAAGGAACTCCAGCTATAATATGAAAACCCTAGGGAACCATTGAAATACAGTAAGCAAGGACTGTGCAATCAAATCAACCTTTTTGAGGATTAAAGATTGATTTGGAAGAGAAAACTGGAGTCAGGTAGGCTTGAAGTTGCTATAACCAACCCCACTAGGATTAAAGAGGTTTGCTGAGAACAGAACCTGGTGCTCACTCCCTACATCTTTAAAAAGAAGAAGGTAATGATGCCTTACTTCTTCAATTGCCCATTCCATCTGTGCAAAATGAAAAGACAGGCAATTGGTAGGATAGAGATGAGGGGATAAAGGCCTAGGTATTAAGACTAAGATGATAAACTGGCAGGAAATCCTTTCATGTAAATATAAGGCAGGCTGTCGGCAAGGAGATGCTGGATGGTTTAGTTAAGTCATGGCGGTCACTTTTATTGAATCTAACTTTTAACTTTCCCTCCAGTGAGAAATGTATGATAGGAATTGTTTACTTGTCCACAGCCACGGTCTTCTGCGAAGGTCCAATTTATCTACAACCTCAGAAAGTTATGAAAGAGCTCTGAAGTTGTAACTGGCCAGCCAGATTTGACTTTATCTTTTCTTTGGGAGTGCCACTTCATCAGATGGGTCTCCTGGAAGACAATGATGAATCTGTCACTAAGGAAGGCATCGTGTAGAATCAAAAACATTCAAACTAAAAGTTATTTAAATAAAATTAAGTTGTTAAACCAAAAGGGGGGTAATAATTTTTTAACTTTGTCATGTAGAGGGTGGGAGGATTAATTCACTTGTTTGTGTGAAGTGTTTTAAAGATAAATTGTGCAGCTAATGTGCCAAAGCTCATTTTTATTATG